>NC_000002.12:92571080-92701915 GCF_000001405.40 Homo sapiens | reverse complement strand
CTTCTATCTAGCTTTTATTGGAAGATATTTCCTTTTTCACCGTATTCCTGAGAACTCTCCAAATGTCCACTTCCAGATACTACAAAAAAGGTGCTGGAGAGGATGCGGAGAAATAGGAACACTTTTACACTGTTGGTGGGACTTTAAACTAGTTCAACCATTGTGGAAGTCAGTGTGGCGATTCCTCAGGGATCTAGAACTAGAAATACCATTTGACCCAGCCATCCCATTACTGGGTATATACCCAAAGGTCTTCTGTCTAGAGTTTATATGAAGACAATCCCGTTTCCAACGAAATCCTCAAAGCTATCCAAATATCCTCCTGCAGATTTTACAAAAAGAGTGTTTCAAAACTGCTCTATCAAAAGAAAGCTTCAACACTGTTAGTTGAGGGCGCACATCACAAATAAGATTCTGAGAATGCTTCTGTCTAGTTTTCAGGGGAAGATATTTCCGTTTTCACCATAGGCCTGAAAGCGCTCCAAATGTCCACATCCAGATACTACAAAAAGAGTGTTTCAAACCTGCTCTATGAAAGGGAATGTTCAACTCTGTGACTTGAATGCAAATATCACAAAGAAGTTTCTGGGAATGCTGCTGTCTGCTTTTTATATGTAATCCCGTTTCCAACGAAATCCTCAAAGCTAGACAAATATCCACTTGCAGATTCCACAAAAAGAGTGTTTCAAAACTGCTCTCTCAAAGGAAGGTTCAACTCTGTTAGCTGAGTAGATACATCATGAAAAAGTTTCTGACATTGCTTCTATCTAGCTTTTATTGGAAGATATTTCCTTTTTCACCGTAGTCCTGAGAGCGCTCCAAATGTCAACTTCCACATACTACAAAAAGAGTGTTTCAAACCTGCTCTATGAAAGGGACTGTTCAACACTGTGACTTCAATTGAAACATCCCAATGAAGCTTCTGAGAATGCTTCTTTCTAGAGTTTATATGAAGACAATCCCGTTTCCAACGAAATCCTCAAAGCTATCCAAATATTCTCTTGCAGATATTACAAAAAGAGTGTTTCAAAACTGCTCTATCAAAATAAAGCTTCAACACTGTTAGTTGAGGGCGCACATCACAAATAAGTTTCTGAGAATGCTGCTGTCTGCTTTTTATATGTAATCCCGTTTCCAACGAAATCCTCAAAGCTAGACAAATATCCACTTGCAGATTCCACAAAAAGAGTGTTTCAAAACTGCTCTATCAAAAGAAAGCTTCAACACTGTTAGTTGAGGGCGCACATCACAAATAAGTTTCTGAGAATGCTTCTGTCTAGTTTTCAGGGGAAGATATTTCCTTTTTCACCTCAGGCCTGAAAGCGCTCCAAATGTCCACATCCAGATACTACAAAAAGAGTGTTTCAAACCTGCTCTATGAAAGGGAATGTTCAACTCTGTGACTTCAATTGAAACATCCCAATGAAGCTTCTGAGAATGCTTCTGTCTAGAGTTTACATGAAGACAATCCCGTTTCCAACGAAATCCTCAAAGCTATCCAAATATCCTCTTGCAGATATTACAAAAAGAGTGTTTCAAAACTGCTCTATCAAAAGAAAGGTTCAACACTGTTAGTTGAGGGCGCACATCACAAATAAGTTTCTGAGAATGCTTCTGTCTAGTTTTCAGGGGAAGATATTTCCTTTTTCACCATAGGCCTGAAAGCGCTCCAAATGTCCACATACAGATACTACAAAAAGAGTGTTTCAAACCTGCTCTATGAAAGGGAATGTTCAACTCTGTGACTTGAATGCAAACATCACAAAGAAGTTTCTGGGAATGCAGCTGTCTGCTTTTTATATGTAATCCCGTTTCCAACGAAATCCTCAAAGCTTGACAAATATCCACTTACAGATTCCACAAAAAGAGTGTTTCAAAACTGCTCTCTCAAAGGAAAGGTTCAACTCTGTTAGCTGAGTAGATACATCATGAAAAAGTTTCTGACATTGCTTCTATCTAGCTTTTATTGGAAGATATTTCCTTTATCACCGTATTCCTGAGATCTCTCCAAATGTCCACTTCCAGATACTACAAAAAGAGTGTTTCAAACCTGCTCTATGAAAGGGACTGTTCAACACTGTGACTTCAATTGAAACATCCCAATGAAGCTTCTGAGAATGCTTCTGTCTAGAGTTTATATGAAGACAATCCCGTTTCCAACGAAATCCTCAAAGCTATCCAAATATCCTCTTGCAGATTTTACAAAAAGAGTGTTTCAAAACTGCTCTATCAAAAGAAAGCTTCAAGACTGTTAGTTGAGGGCGCACATCACAAATAAGATTCTGAGAATTCTTCTGTCTAGTTTTCAGGGGAAGATATTTCCTTTTTCACCATAGGCCTGAAAGCGCTCCAAATGTCCACATCCAGATACTACAAAAAGAGTGTTTCAAACCTGCTCTATGAAAGGGAATGTTCAACTCTGTGACTTGAATGCAAACGTCACAAAGAAGTTACTGGGAATGCTGCTGTCTGCTTTTTATATGTAATCCCGTTTCCAACGAAATCCTCAAAGCTAGACAAAATATCCACTTGCAGATTCCACAAAAAGAGTGTTTCAAAACTGCTCTCTCAAAAGAAAGGTTCAACTCTGTTAGCTGAGTAGATACATCATGAAAAAGTTTCTGACATTGCTTCTATCTAGCTTTTATTGGAAGATATTTCCTTTTTCACCGTAGTCCTGAGATCTCTCCAAATGTCCACTTCCAGATACTACAAAAAGAGTGTTTCAAACCTGCTCTATGAAAGGGACTGTTCAACACTGTGACTTCAATTGAAACATCCCAATGAAGCTTCTGAGAATGCTTCTGCCTAGAGTTTATATGAAGACAATCCCGTTTCCAACGAAATCCTCAAAGCTATCCAAATATCCTCTTGCAGATATTACAAAAAGAGTGTTTCAAAACTGCTCTATCAAAAGAAAGCTTCAACACTGTTAGTTGAGGGCGCACATCACAAATAAGTTTCTGAGAATGCTTCTGTCTAGTTTTCAGGGGAAGATATTTCCTTTTTCACCTTAGGCCTGAAAGCGCTGCAAATGTCCACAACCAGATACTACAAAAAGAGTGTTTCAAACCTGCTCTATGAAAGGGAATGTTCAACTCTGTGACTTGAATGCAAACATCACAAAGAAGTTTCTGGGAATGCTGCTGGCTGCTTTTTATATGTTATCCCGTTTCCAACGAAATCCTCAAAGCTAGACAAATATCCACTTGCAGATTCCACAAAAAGAGTGTTTCAAAACTGCTCTCTCAAAGGAAGGTTCAACTCTGTTAGCTGAGTAGATACATCATGAAAAAGTTTCTGACATTGCTTCTATCTAGCTTTTATTGGAAGATATTTCCTTTTTCACCGCAGTCCTGAGAGCGCTCCAAATGTCCACTTCCAGATACTACAAAAAGACTGTTTCAAACCTGCTCTATGAAAGGGACTGTTCAACACTGTGACTTCAACTGAAACATCCCAATGAAGCTTCTGAGAATGCTTCTGTCTAGAGTTTATATGAAGACAATCCCGTTTCCAACGAAATCCTCAAAGCTATCCAAATATCCTCTTGCAGATATTACAAAAAGAGTGTTTCAAAACTGCTCTATCAAAAGAAAGGTTCAACACTGTTAGTTGAGGGCGCACATCACAAATAAGTTTACTGAGAATGCTGCTGTCTGCTTTTTATATGTAATCCCGTTTCCAACGAAATCCTCAAAGCTAGACAAATATCCATCCACTTGCAGATTCCACAAAAAGAGTGTTTCAAAACTGCTCTATCAAAAGAATGCTTCAACACTGTTAGTTGAAGGCGCACATCACAAATAAGTTTCTGAGAATGCTTCTGTCTAGTTTTCAGGGGAAGATATTTCCTTTTTCACCATAGGCCTGAAAGCGCTCCAAATGTCCACATCCAGATACTACAAAAAGAGTGTTTCAAACCTGCTCTATGAAAGGGACTGTTCAACACTGTGACTTCAATTGAAACATCCCAATGAAGCTTCTGAGAATGCTTCTGTCTAGAGTTTATATGAAGACAATCCCGTTTCCAACGTAATCCTCAAAGCTATCAAAATATCCTCTTGCAGATTTTACGAAAAGAGTGTTTCAAAACTGCTCTATCAAAAGAAAGCTTCAACACTGTTAGTTGAGGGCGCACATCACAAATAAGTTTCTGAGAATGCTTCTGTCTAGTTTTCAGGGGAAGATATTTCCTTTTTCACCATAGGCCTGAAAGCGCTCCAAATGTCCACATCCAGATACTACAAAAAGAGTGTTTCAAACCTGCTCTATGAAAGGGAATGTTCAACTCTGTGACTTGAATGCAAACACCACAAAGAAGTTACTGGGAATGCTGCTGTCTGCTTTTTATATGTAATCCCGTTTCCAACGAAATCCTCAAAGCTAGACAAATATCCACTTGCAGATTGCACAAAAAGAGTGTTTCAAAACTGCTCTCTCAAAAGAAAGGTTCAACTCTGTTAGCTGAGTAGATACATCATGAAAAAGTTTCTGACATTGCTTCTATCTAGCTTTTATTGGAAGATATTTCCTTTATCACCGTATTCCTGAGATCTCTCCAAATGTCCACTTCCAGATACTACAAAAAGAGTGTTTCAAACCTGCTCTATGAAAGGGACTGTTCAACACTGTGACTTCAATTGAAACATCCCAATGAAGCTTCTGAGAATGCTTCTGTCTAGAGTTTATATGAAGACAATCCCGTTTCCAACGAAATCCTCAAAGCTATCCAAATATCCTCTTGCAGATTTTACGAAAAGAGTGTTTCAAAACTGCTCTATCAAAAGAAAGCTTCAACACTGTTAGTTGAGGGCGCACATAACAAATAAGATTCTGAGAATTGCTTCTGTCTAGTTTTCAGGGAAGATATTTCCTTTTTCACCATAGGCCTGAAAGCGCTCCAAATGTCCACATCCAGATACTTCAAAAAGAGTGTTTCAAACCTGCTCTATGAAAGGGAATGTTCAACTCTGTGACTTGAATGCAAACATCACAAAGAAGTTACTGGGAATGCTGCTGTCTGCTTTTTATATGTAATCCCGTTTCCAACGAAATCCTCAAAGCTAGACAAATATCCACTTGCAGATTCCACAAAAAGAGTGTTTCAAAACTGCTCTCTCAAAGGAAAGGTTCAACTCTGTTAGCTGAGTAGATACATCATGAAAAAGTTTCTGACATTGCTTCTATGTAGCTTTTATTGGAAGATATTTCCTTTATCACCGTATTCCTGAGATCTCTCCAAATGTCCACTTCCAGATACTACAAAAAGAGTGTTTCAAACCTGCTCTATGAAAGGGACTGTTCAACACTGTGACTTCAATTGAAACATCCCAATGAAGCTTGTCAGAATGCTTCTGTCTAGAGTTTATATGAAGACAAACCCGTTTCCAACGAAATCCTCAAAGCTATCCAAATATCCTCTTGCAGATATTACAAAAAGAGTGTTTCAAAACTGCTCTATCAAAAGAAAGCTTCAACACTGTTAGTTGAGGGCGCACATCACAAATAAGTTTCTGAGAATGCTTCTGTCTAGTTTTCAGGGGAAGATATTTCCTTTTTCACCATAGGCCTGAAAGCGCTCCAAATGTCCACATCCAGATACTACAAAAAGAGTGTTTCAAACCTGCACTATGAAAGGGAATGTTCAACTCTGTGACTTGAATGCAAACATCACAAAGAAGATTCTGGGAATGCTGCTGTCTGCTTTTTATATGTAATCCCGTTTCCAACGAAATCCTCAAAGCTAGACAAATATCCACTTGCAGATTCCACAAAAAGAGTGTTTCAAAACTGCTCTCTCAAAGGAAGGTTCAACTCTGTTAGCTGAGTAGACACATCATGAAAAAGATTCTGACATTGCTTCTATGTAGCTTTTATTGGAAGATATTTCCTTTTTCACCGCAGTCCTGAGAGCGCTCAAAATGTCCACTTCCAGATACTACAAAAAGAGTGTTTCAAACCTGCTCTATGAAAGGGACTGTTCAACACTGTGACTTCAATTGAAACATCCCAATGAAGATTCTGAGAATGCTTCTGTCTAGAGTTTATATGAAGACAATCCCGTTTCCAAAGGAATCCTCAAAGCTATCCAAATATCCTCTTGCAGATTTTACTAAAAGTGTGTTTCAAAACTGCTCTATCAAAAGAAAGTTTCAACACTGTTAGTTGAGGGCGCACATCACAAATAAGATTCTGAGAATGCTGCTGTCTGCTTTTTATATGTAATCCCGTTTCCAACGAAATCCTCAAAGCTAGACAAATATCCACTTGCAGATTCCACAAAAAGAGTGTTTCAAAACTGCTCTATCAAAAGAATGCTTCAACACTGTTAGTTGAGGGCGCACATCACAAATAAGTTTCTGAGAATGCTTCTATCTAGCTTTTATTGGAAGATATTTCCTTTTTCACCGTAGTCCTGAGAGCGCTCCAAATGTCCAATTCCAGATACTACAAAAAGAGTGTTTCAAACATGCTCTATGAAAGGGACTGTTCAACACTGTGACTTCAATTGAAACATCCCAATGAAGCTTCTGAGAATGCTTCTGTCTAGATTTTATATGAAGACAATCCCGTTTCCAACGAAATCCTCAAAGCTATCCAAATATCCTCTTGCAGATTTTACAAAAAGAGTGTTTCAAAACTGCTGTATCGAAAGAAAGCTTCAACACTGTTAGTTGAGGGCGCACATCACAAATAAGATTCTGAGAATGCTCTGTCTAGTTTTCAGGGGAAGATATTTCCTTTTTCACCTTAGGCCTGAAAGCGCTGCAAATGTCCACATCCAGATACTACAAAAAGAGTGTTTCAAACCTGCTGTATGAAAGGGAATGTTCAACTCTGTGACTTGAATGCAAACATCACAAAGAAGTTACTGGGAATGCTGGCTTTCTGCTTTTTATATGTAATCCCGTTTCCAACGAAATCCTCAAAGCTAGACAAATATCCACTTGCAGATTCCACAAAAAGAGTGTTTCAAAACTGCTCTCTCAAAGGAAGGTTCAACTCTGTTAGCTGAGTAGATACATCATGAAAAAGTTTCTGACATTGCTTCTATCTAGCTTTTATTGGAAGATATTTCCTTTTTCACCGTAGTCCTGAGAGCGCTCCAAATGTAAACTTCCAGATACTACAAAAAGAGTGTTTCAAACCTGCTCTATGAAAGGGACTGTTCAACACTGTGACTTCAATTGAAACATCCCAATGAAGCTTCTGAGAATGCTTCTGTCTAGAGTTTATATGAAGACAATCCCGTTTCCAATGAAATCCTCAAAGCTATCCAAATATCCTCTTGCAAATTTTACAAAAAGAGTGTTTCAAAACTGCTCTATCAAAAGAAAGCTTCAACACTGTTAGTTGAGGGCGCACATCACAAATAAGATTCTGAGAATGCTTCTGTCTAGTTTTCAGGGGAAGATATTTCCTTTTTCACCTTAGGCCTGAAAGCGCTGCAAATGTCCGTATACAGATACTACAAAAAGAGTGTTTCAAACCTGCTCTATGAAAGGGAATGTTCAACTCTGTGACTTGAATGCAAACATCACAAAGAAGTTTCTGGGAATGCTGCTGTCTGCTTTTTATATGTAATCCCGTTTCCAACGAAATCCTCAAAGCTAGACAAATATCCACTTGCAGATTCCACAAAAAGAGTGTTTCAAAACTGCTGTCTCAAAAGAAAGGTTCAACTCTGTTAGCTGAGCAGATACATCATGAAAAAGTTTCTGACATTGCTTCTATCTAGCTTTTATTGGAAGATATTTCCTTTATCACCGTATTCCTGAGATCTCTCCAAATGTCCACTTCCAGATACTACAAAAAGAGTGTTTCAAACCTGCTCTATGAAAGGGACTGTTCAACACTGTGACTTCAATTGAAACATCCCAATGAAGCTTCTGAGAATGGTTCTGTCTAGAGTTTATATGAAGACAATCCCGTTTCCAACGAAATCCTCAAAGCTATCCAAATATCCTCTTGCAGATATTACAAAAAGAGTGTTTCAAAACTGCTCTATCAAAAGAAAGGTTCAACACTGTTAGTTGAGGGCGCACATCACAAATAAGTTTACTGAGAATGCTGCTGACTGCTTTTTATATGTAATCCCGTTTCCAACGAAATCCTCAAAGCTAGAAAAATATCCAGATGCAGATTCCACAAAAAGAGTGTTTCAAAACTGCTCTATCAAAAGAAAGCTTCAACACTGTTAGTTGAGGGCGCACATCACAAATAAGTTTCTGAGAATGCTTCTGTCTAGTTTTCAGGGGAAGATATTTCCTTTTTCACCATAGGCCTGAAAGCGCTCTAAATGTCCACATCCAGATACTACAAAAAGAGTGTTTCAAACCTGCTCTATGAAAGGGACTGTTCAACACTGTGACTTCAATTGAAACATCCCAATGAAGCTTCTGAGAATGCTTCTGTCTAGAGTTTATATGAAGACAATCCCGTTTCCAACGAAATCCTCAAAGCTAGACAAACATCCACTTGCAGATTCCACAAAAAGAGTGTTTCAAAACTGCTCTATCAAAAGAAAGCTTCAACACTGTTAGTTGAGGGCGCACATCACAAATAAGTTTCTGAGAATGCTTCTGTCTAGTTTTCAGGGGAAGATATTTCCTTTTTCACCATAGGCCTGAAAGCGCTCCAAATGTCCACACCCAGATACTACAAAAAGAGTGTTTCAAACCTGCTCTTTGAAAGGGAATGTTCAACTCTGTGACTTGAATGCAAGCATCACAAAGAAGTTACTGGGAATGCTGCTGTCTGCTTTTTATATGTAATCCCGTTTCCAACGAAATCCTCAAAGCTAGACAAATATCCACTTGCAGATTCCACAAAAAGAGTGTATCAAAACTGCTGTCTCAAAGGAAGGTTCAACTCTGTTAGCTGAGTAGACACATCATGAAAAAGATTCTGACATTGCTACTATGTAGCTTTTATTGGAAGATATTTCCTTTTTCACCGCAGTCCTGAGAGCGCTCCAAATGTCCACTTCCAGATACTACAAAAAGAGTGTTTCAAACCTGCTCTATGAAAGGGACTGTTCAACACTGTGACTTCAATTGAAACATCCCAATGAAGCTTCTGAGAATGCTTCTGTCTAGAGTTTATATGAAGACAATCCCGTTTCCAACGAAATCCTCAAAGCTATCCAAATATCCTCTTGCAGATATTACAAAAAGAGTGTTTCAAAACTGCTCTATCAAAAGAAAGGTTCAACACTGTTAGTTGAGGGCGCACATCACAAATAAGTTTACTGAGAATGCTGCTGTCTGCTTTTTATATGTAATCCCGTTTCCAACGAAATCCTAAAAGCTAGACAAATATCCACTTGCAGATTCCACAAAAAGAGTGTTTCAAAACTGCTCTATCAAAAGAAAGCTTCAACACTGTTAGTTGACGGCGCACATCACAAATAAGTTTCTGAGAATGCTTCTGTCTAGTTTTCAGGGGAAGATATTTCCTTTTTCACCATAGGCCTGAAAGCGCTCCAAATGTCCACATCCAGATACTACAAAAAGAGTGTTTCAAACCTGCTCTATGAAAGGGAATGTTCAACTCTGTGACTTGAATGCAAACATCACAAAGAACTTTCTGGGAATGCTTCTGTCTAGAGTTTATATGAAGACAATCCCGTTTCCAACGAAATCCTCAAAGCTATCCAAATATCCTCTTGCAGATTTTACAAAAAGAGTGTTTCAAAACTGCTCTATCAAAAGAAAGCTTCAACACTGTTAGTTGAGGGCGCACATCACAAATAAGATTCTGAGAATGCTTCTGTCTAGTTTTCAGGGGAAGATATTTCCTTTTTCACCATAGGCCTGAAAGCGCTCCAAATGTCCACATCCAGATACTACAAAAAGAGTGTTTCAAACCTGCTCTATGAAAGGGAATGTTCAACTGTGTGACTTGAATGCAAACATCACAAAGAAGTTTCTGGGAATGCTGCTGTCTGCTTTTTATATGTAATCCCGTTTCCAACGCAATCCTCAAAGCTAGACAAATATCCACTTGCAGATTCCACAAAAAGAGTGTTTCAAAACTGCTCTCTCAAAGGAAGGTTCAACTCTGTTAGCTGAGTAGATACATCATGAAAAAGTTTCTGACATTGCTTCTATCTAGCTTTTATTGGAAGATATTTCCTTTTTCACCGCAGTCCTGAGAGCGCTCCAAATGTCCACTTCCAGATACTACAAAAAGAGTGTTTCAAACCTGCTCTATGAAAGGGACTGTTCAACACTGTGACTTCAACTGAAACATCCCAATGAAGCTTCTGAGAATGCTGCTGTCTGCTTTGTATAATTAATCCCGTTTCCAACGAAATCCTCAAAGCTATCCAAATATCCTCTTGCAGATATTACAAAAAGAGTGTTTCAAAACTGCTCTATCAAAAGAAAGCTTCAACACTGTTAGTTGAGGGCGCACATCACAAATAAGTTTCTGAGAATGCTGCTGTCTGCTTTTTATATGTAATCCCGTTTCCAACGAAATCCTCAAAGCTAGACAAATATCCACTTGCAGATTCCACAAAAAGAGTGTTTCAAAACTGCTCTATCAAAAGAAAGCTTCAACACTGTTAGTTGAGGGCGCACATCACAAATAAGTTTCTGAGAATGCTTCTGTCTAGTTTTCAGGGGAAGATATTTCCTTTTTCACCATAGGCCTGAAAGCGCTCCAAATGTCCACATCCAGATACTACAAAAAGAGTGTTTCAAACCTGCTCTATGAAAGGGACTGTTCAACACTGTGACTTCAATTGAAACATCCCAATGAAGCTTCTGAGAATGCTTCTGTCTAGAGTTTATATAAAGACAATCCCGTTTCCAATGAAATCCTCAAAGCTATCCAAATATCCTCTTGCAGATTTTACAAAAAGAGTGTTTCAAAACTGCTCTATCAAAAGAAAGCTTCAACACTGTTAGTTGAGGGCGCACATCACAAATAAGATTCTGAGAATGCTTCTGTCTAGTTTTCAGGGGAAGATATTTCCTTTTTCACGTTAGGCCTGAAAGCGCTGCAAATGTCCACATCCAGATACTACAAAAAGAGTGTTTCAAACCTGCTCTATGAAAGGGAATGTTCAACTCTGTGACTTGAATGCAAACAACACAAAGAAGTTTGCTGGGAATGCTGCTGTCTGCTTTTTATATGTAATCCCGTTTCCAACGAAATCCTGAAAGCTAGACAAATATCCACCTGCAGATTCCACAAAAAGAGTGTTTCAAAACTGCTCTCTCAAAAAAAATGTTCAACTCTGTTAGCTGAGTAGATACATCATGAAAATGTTTCTGACATTGCTTCTATCTAGCTTTATTTGGAAGATATTTCCTTTTTCACCGTAGTCCTGAAAACGCTCCAAATCTCAACTTCCAGATACTACAAAAAGAGTGTTTCAAACATGCTCTATGAAAGGGACTGTTCAACACTGTGACTTCAATTGAAACATCCCAATGAAGCTTCTGAGAATGCTGCTGTCTGCTTTGTATAATTAATCCCGTTTCCAACGAAATCCTCAAAGCTATCCAAATATCCTCTTGCAGATATTACAAAAAGAGTGTTTCAAAACTGCTCTATCAAAAGAAAGCTTCAACACTGTTAGTTGAGGGCGCACATCACAAATAAGTTTCTGAGAATGCTGCTGTCTGCTTTTTATATGTAATCCCGTTTCCAACGAAATTCTCAAAGCTAGACAAATATCCACTTGCAGATTCCACAAAAAGAGTGTTTCAAAACTGCTCTATCAAAAGAAAGCTTCAACACTGTTAGTTGAGGGCGCACATCACAAATAAGTTTCTGAGAATGCTTCTGTCTAGTTTTCAGGGGAAGATATTTCCTTTTTCACCTTAGGCCTGAAAGCGCTGCAAATGTCCACATCCAGATACTACAAAAAGAGTGTTTCAAACCTGCTCTATGAAAGGGAATGTTCAACTCTGTGACTTGAATGCAAACATCACAAAGAAGTTTCTGGGAATGCCGCTGTCTGCTTTTTATATGTAATCCCGTTTCCAACGAAATCCTCAAAGCTAGACAAATATCCACTTGCAGATTCCACAAAAAGAGTGTTTCAAAACTGCTCTCTCAAAGGAAAGGTTCAACTCTGTTAGCTGAGTAGATACATCATGAAAAAGTTTCTGACATTGCTTCTATGTAGCTTTTATTGGAAGATACTTCCTTTTTCACCGCAGTCCTGAGAGCACTCCAAATGTCCACTTCCAGATACTACAAAAAGAGTGTTTCAAACCTGCTCTATGAAAGGGACTGTTCAACACTGTGACTTCAATTGAAACATCCCAATGAAGCTTCTGAGAATGCTTCTGTCTAGAGTTTATATGAAGACAATCCCGTTTCCAACGAAATCCTCAAAGCTATCCAAATATCCTCTTGCAGATTTTACAAAAAGAGTGTTTCAAAACTGCTCTATCAAAAGAAAGCTTCAACACTGTTAGTTGAGGGCGCACATCACAAATAAGATTCTGAGAATGCTTCTGTCTAGTTTTCAGGGGAAGATATTTCCGTTTTCACCATAGGCCTGAAAGCGCTCCAAATGTCCACATCCAGATACTACAAAAAGAGTGTTTCAAACCTGCTCTATGAAAGGGAATGTTCAACTCTGTGACTTGAATGCAAATATCACAAAGAAGTTTCTGGGAATGCTGCTGTCTGCTTTTTATATGTAATCCCGTTTTCAACGCAATCCTCAAAGCTAGACAAATATCCACTTGCAGATTCCACAAAAAGAGTGTTTCAAAACTGCTCTCTCAAAAGAAAGGTTCAACGCTTTTGGCTGAGTAGATACATCATGAAAAAGTTTCTGACATTGCTTCTATCTAGCTTTATTTGGAAGATATTTCCTTTTTCACCGTAGTCCTGAGAGCGCTCCAAATGTCCACTTCCAGATACTACAAAAAGATTGTTTCAAACATGCTCTATGAAAGGGAATGTTCAACACTGTGACTTCAATTGAAACATCCCAATGAAGCTTCTGAGAATGCTTCTGTCTAGATTTTATATGAAGACAATCCCGTTTCCAACGAAATCCTCAAAGCTATCCAAATATCCTCTTGCAGATTTTACAAAAAGAGTGTCTCAAAACTGCTCTATCAAAAGAAAAGTTCAACACTGTTAGTTGAGGGCGCACATCACAAATAAGTTTCTGAGAATGCTTCTATCTAGTTTTCAGGGGAAGATATTTCCTTTTTCACCATAGGCCTGAGAGCGCTCCAAATGTCCACATCCAGATGCTACAAAAAGAGTGTTTCAAACCTGCTCTATGAAAGGGAATGTTCAACTCTGTGACTTGAATGCAAACATCACAAAGAAGTTTCTGGGAATGCTGCTCTCTGCTTTTTATATGTAATCCCGTTTCCAACGAAATCCTCAAAGCTAGACAAATATCCACTTGCAGATTCCACAAAAAGAGTGTTTCAAAACTGCTCTCTCAAAAGAAAGGTTCAACTCTGTTAGCTGAGTAGATACATCATGAAAAATTTTCTGACATTGCTTCTATCTAGCTTTTATTGGAAGATATTTCCTTTTTCACCGTAGTCCTGAGAGCGCTCCAAATGTCCACTTCCAGATACTACAAAAAGAGTGTTTCAAACCTGCTCTACGAAAGGGACTGTTCAACACTGTGACTTCAATTGAAACATCCCAATGAAGTTTCTGAGAATGCTTCTGTCTAGAGTTTATATGAAGACAATCCCGTTTCCAACGAAATCCTCAAAGCTATCCAAATATCCTCTTGCAGATTTTACAAAAAGAGTGTTTCAAAACTGCCCTATCAAAAGAAAGGTTCAACACTGTTAGTTGAGGGCGCACATCACAAATAAGTTTCTGAGAATGCTTCTGTCTAGTTTTCAGGAGAAGATATTTCCTTTTTCACCATAGGCCTGAAAGCGCTCCAAATGTCCACATCCAGATTCTATAAAAAGAGTGTTTCAAACCTGCTCTATGAAAGGGAATGTTCAACTCTGTGACTTGAATGCAAACATCACAAACAAGATTCTGGGAATGCTACTGTCTGCTTTTTATATGTAATCCCGTTTCCAACGAAATCCTCTAAGCTAGACAAATATCCACTTGCAGATTCCACAAAACGAGTGTTTCAAAACTGCTCTCTCAAATGAAGGTTCAACTCTGTTAGCTGAGTAGATACATCATGAAAAAGTTTCTGACATTGCTTCTATCTAGCTTTTATTGGAAGATATTTCCTTTTTCAACGCAGTCCTGAGAGCGTTCCAAATGTCCACTTCCAGATACTACAAAAAGAGTGTTTCAAACCTGCTCTATGAAAGGGACTGTTCAACACTGTGACTTTAATTGAAACATCCCAATGAAGCTTCTGAGAATGCTACTGTCTAGAGTTTATATGAAGACAATCCCGTTTCCAACGAAATCCTCAAAGCTATCCAAATAACCTCTAGCAGATATTACAAAAAGAGTGTTTCAAAACTGCTCTATCAAAAGAAAGCTTCAACACTGTTAGTTGAGGGCGCACATCACAAATAAGTTTCTGAGAATGCTTCTGTCTAGTTTTCAGGGGAAGATATTTCCTTTTTCACCATAGGCCTCAAAGCGCTCCAAATGTCCACATCCAGATACTACAAAAAGAGTCTTTCAAACCTGCTCTATGAAAGGGAATGTTCAACTCTGTGACTTGAATGCAAACATCACAAAGGAAATTTCTGGGAATGCTGCTGTCTGCTTTTTATATGTAATCCCGTTTCCAACGAAATCCTCAAAGCTAGACAAATATCCACTTGCAGATTCCACCAAAAGAGTGTTTCAAAACTGCTGTCTCAAAAGAAAGGTTCAACTCTGTTAGCTGAGTAGATAGATCATGAAAAAGTTTCTGACATTGCTTCTATCTAGCTTTTATTGGAAGATATTTCCTTTTTCACCGTAGTCCTGAGAGCGCTCCAAATGTCCACTTCCAGATACTACAAAAAGAGTGTTTCAAACCTGCTCTATGAAAGGGACTGTTCAACACTGTGACTTCAGTTGAAACATCCCCATGAAGCTTCTGAGAATGCTACTGTCTAGAGTTTATATGAAGACAATCCCGTTTCCAACGAAATCCTCAAAGCTATCCAAATAACCTCTAGCAGATTTTACAAAAAGAGTGTTTCAAAACTGCTCTATCAAAAGAAAGCTTCAACACTGTTAGTTGAGGGCGCACATCACAAATAAGTTTCTGAGAATGCTGCTGTCTGCTTTTTATATGTAATCCCGTTTCCAACGAAATCCTCAAAGCTAGACAAATATCCACTTGCAGATTCCACAAAAAGAGTGTTTCAAAACTGCTCTATCAAAAGAATGCTTCAACACTGTTAGTTGAAGGCGCACATCACAAATAAGTTTCTGAGAATGCTTCTGTCTAGTTTTCAGGGGAAGATATTTCCTTTTAAACCATAGGCCTGAAAGCGCTCCAAATGTCCACATCCAGATACTACAAAAAGAGTGTTTCAAACCTGCTCTATGAAAGGGACTGTTCAACACTGTGACTTCAATTGAAACATCCCAATGACGCTTCTGAGAATGCTTCTGTCTAGAGTTTATATGAAGACAATCCCGTTTCCAACGAAATCCTCAAAGCTATCCAAATATCCTCTTGCAGATTTTACAAAAAGAGCGTTTCAAAACTGCTCTATCAAAAGAAAGCTTCAACACTGTTAGTTGAGGGCGCACATCACAAATAAGATTCTGAGAATGCTTCTGTCTAGTTTTCAGGGGAAGATATTTCCTTTTTCACCATAGGCCTGAAAGCGCTCCAAATGTCCACATCCAGATACTACAAAAAGAGTGTTTCAAACCTGCTCTATGAAAGGGAATGTTCAACTCTGTGACTTGAATGCAAACATCACAAAGAAGTTTCGGGGAATGCTGCTGTCTGCTTTTTATATGTAATCCCGTTTCCAACGAAATCCTCAAAGCTAGACAAATATCCACTTGCAGATTCCACAAAAAGAGTGTTTCAAAACTGCTCTCTCAAAAGAAAGGTTCAACTCTGTTAGCTGAGTAGATACATCATGAACAATTTTCTGACATTGCTTCTATCTAGCTTTATTTGGAAGATATTTCCTTTTTCACCGTAGTCTTGAAAACGCTCCAAATGTCAACTTCCAGATACTACAAAAAGAGTGTTTCAAACATGCTCTATGAAAGGGACTGTTCAACACTGTGACTTCAATTGAAACATCCCAATGAAGCTTCTGAGAATGCTTCTGTCTAGAGTTTATATGAAGACAATCCCGTTTCCAACGAAATCCTCAAAGCTATCCAAATATCCTCTTGCAGATATTACAAAAAGAGTGTTTCAAAACTGCTCTATCAAAAGAAAGGTTCAACACTGTTAGTTGAGGGCGCACATCACAAATAAGTTTACTGAGAATGCTGCTGTCTGCTTTTTATATGTAATCCCGTTTCCAACGAAATCCTCAAAGCTAGACAAATATCCACTTGCAGATTCCACAAAAAGAGTGTTTCAAAACTGCTCTATCAAAAGAATGCTTCAACACTGTTAGTTGAGGGCGCACATCACAAATAAGTTTCTGAGAATGCTTCTGTCTAGTTTTCAGGGGAAGATATTTCCTTTTAAACCATAGGCCTGAAAGCGCTCCAAATGTCCACATCCAGATACTACAAAAAGAGTGTTTCAAACCTGCTCTATGAAAGGGACTGTTCAACACTGTGACTTCAATTGAAACATCCCAATGATGCTTCTGAGAATGCTTCTGTCTAGAGTTTATATGAAGACAATCCCGTTTCCAACGAAATCCTGAAAGCTATCAAAATATCCTCTTGCAGATTTTACGAAAAGAGTGTTTCAAAACTGCTCTATCAAAAGAAAGCTTCAACACTGTTAGTTGAGGGCGCACATCACAAATAAGATTCTGAGAATGCTTCTGTCTAGTTTTCAGTGGAAGATATTTCCTTTTTCACCATAGGCCTGAAAGCGCTCCAAATGTCCACATCCAGATACTAGAAAAAGAGTGTTTCAAACCTGCTCTATGAAAGGGAATGTTCAACTGTGGAAGTTGAATGCAAATATCACAAAGAAGTTTCTGGGAATGCTGCTGTCTGGTTTTTATATGTAATCCCGTTTCCAACGAAATCCTCAAAGCTAGACAAATATCCACTTGCAGATTCCACAAAAAGAGTGTTTCAAAACTGCTCTCTCAAAAGAAAGGTTCAACTCTGTTAGCTGAGTAGATACATCATGAAAAAGTTTCTGACATTGCTTCTATCTAGCTTTTATTGGAAGATATTTCCTTTATCACCGTAGTCCTGAGAGCGCTCCAAATGTCCACTTCCAGATACTACAAAAAGAGTGTTTCAAACCTGCTCTATGAAAGGGACTGTTCAACACTGTGACTTCAATTGAAACATCCCAATGAAGCTTCTGAGAATGCTTCTGTCTAGAGTTTATATGAAGACAATCCCGTTTCCAACGAAATCCTCAAAGCTATCCAAATATCCTCTTGCAGATATTACAAAAAGAGTGTTTCAAAACTGCTCTATCAAAAGAAAGGTTCAACACTGTTAGTTGAGGGCGCACATCACAAATAAGTTTCTGAGAATGCTTCTGTCTAGTTTTCAGGGGAAGACATTTCCTTTTTCACCATAGGCCTGAAAGCGCTCCAAATGTCCACATCCAGATACTACAAAAAGAGTGTTTCACACCTGCTCTATGAAAGGGAATGTTCAACTCTGTGACTTGAATGCAAACATCACAAAGAAGTTACTGGGAATGCTGCTGTCTGCTTTTTACATGTAATCCCGTTTCCAACGAAATCCTCAAAGCTAGACAAATATCCACTTGCAGATTCCACAAAAAGAGTGTTTCAAAACTGCTCTCTCAAAGGAAGTTTCAACTCTGTTAGCTGAGTAGATACATCATGAAAAAGTTTCTGACATTGCTTCTATCTAGCTTTTATTGGAAGATATTTCCTTTTTCACCGCAGTCCTGAGAGCGCTCCAAATGTCCACTTCCAGATACTACGAAAAGACTGTTTCAAACCTGCTCTATGAAAGGGACTGTTCAACACTGTGACTTCAACTGAAACATCCCAATGAAGCTTCTGAGAATGCTTCTGTCTAGAGTTTATATGAAGACAATCCCGTTTCCAACGAAATCCTCAAAGCTATCCAAATATCCTCTTGCAGATATTACAAAAAGAGTGTTTCAAAACTGCTCTATCAAAAGAAAGGTTCAACACTGTTAGTTGAGGGCGCACATCACAAATAAGTTTACTGAGAATGCTGCTGTCTGCTTTTTATAATTAATCCCGTTTCCAACGAAATCCTCAAAGCTATCCAAATATCCTCTTGCAGATATTACAAAAAGAGTGTTTCAAAACTGCTCTATCAAAAGAAAGCTTCAACACTGTTAGTTGAGGGCGCACATCACAAATAAGTTTCTGAGAATGCTTCTGTCTAGTTTTCAGGGGAAGATATTTCCTTTTTCACCATAGGCCTGAAAGCGCTCCAAATGTCCACATCCAGATACTACAAAAAGAGTGTTTCAAACCTGCTCTATGAAAGGGAATGTTCAACTCTGTGAGTTGAATGCAAACATCACAAAGAAGTTTCTGGGAATGCTGCTGTCTGCTTTTTATATGTAATCCCGTTTCCAACGAAATCCTCAAAGCTAGACAAATATCCACTTCCAGATTCCACAAAGAGAGTGTTTCAAAACTGCTCTCTCAAAAGAAAGGTTCAACTCTGTTAGCTGAGTAGATACATCATGAAAAAGTTTCTGACATTGCTTCTATGTAGCTTTTATTGGAAGATATTTCCTTTTTCACCATAGGCCTGAAAGCGCTCCAAATGTCCACATCCAGATACTACAAAAAAAGTGTTTCAAACCTGCTCTATGAAAGGGAATGTTCAACTCTGTGACTTGAATGCAAACATCACAAAGAAGTTACTGGGAATGCTGCTGTCTGCTTTTGATATGTAATCCCGTTTCCAACGAAATCCTCAAAGCTAGACAAATATCCACTTGCAGATTCCACAAAAAGAGTGTTTCAAAACTGCTCTCTCAAAAGAAAGGTTCAACTTCTTTTAGCTGTGTAGATACATCATGAAAAAGTTTCTGACATTGCTTCTATCTAGCTTTTATTGGAAGATATTTCCTTTTTCACCGTAGTCCTGAGAGCGCTCCAAATGTCCACTTCCAGATACTACAAAAAGAGTGTTTCAAACCTGCTCTATGAAAGGGACTGTTCAACACTGTGACTTCAATTGAAACATCCCAATGAAGCTTCTGAGAATGCTTCTGTCTAGATTTTATATGAAGACAATCCCGTTTCCAACGAAATCCTCAAAGCTATCCAAATATCCTCTTGCAGATTTTACAAAAAGAGTGTTTCAAAACTGCTCTATCAAAAGAAAAGTTCAACACTGTTAGTTGAGGGCGCACATCACAAATAAGTTTCTGAGAATGCTTCTGTCTAGTTTTCAGGGGAAGATATTTCCTTTTTCACCATAGGCCTGAAAGCGCTCCAAATGTCCACATCCAGATACTACAAAAAGAGTGTTTCAAACCTGCTCTCTGAAAGGGAATGTTCAACTCTGTGACTTGAATGCAAACATCACAAAGAAGTTTCTGGGAATGCTGCTGTCTGCTTTTTATATGTAATCCCGTTTCCAACGAAATCCTCAAAGCTATCCAAATATCCTCTTGCAGATATTACAAAAAGAGTGTTTCAAAACTGCTCTATCAAAAGAAAGGTTCAACACTGTTAGTTGAGGGCGCACATCACAAATAAGTTTCTGAGAATGCTTCTGTCTAGTTTTCAGGGGAAGATATTTCCTTTTTCACCATAGGCCTGAAAGCGCTCCAAATGTCCACATAGAGATACTACAAAAAGAGTGTTTCAAACCTGCTGTATGAAAGGGAATGTTCAACTCTGTGACTTGAATGCAAACATCACAAAGAAGTTACTGGGAATGCTTCTGTCTAGAGTTTATATGAAGACAATCCCGTTTCCAGCGAAATCCTCAAAGCTATCCAAATATCCTCTTGCAGATATTACAAAAAGAGTGTTTCAAAACTGCTCTATCAAAAGAAAGGTTCAACACTGTTAGTTGAGGGCGCACATCACAAATAAGATTCTGAGAATGCTTCTATCTAGCTTTTATTGGAAGATATTTCCTTTATCACCGTATTCCTGAGATCTCTCAAAATGTCCACATCCAGATACTACAAAAAGAGTGTTTCAAACCTGCTGTATGAAAGGGAATGTTCAACTCTGTGACTTGAATGCAAACTTCACAAAGAAGTTTCTGGGAATGCTGCTGTCTGCTTTTTATATGTAATCCCGTTTCCAACGAAATCCTCAAATCTAGACAAATATCCACTTGCAGATTCCACAAAAAGAGTGTTTCAAAACTGCTCTCTCAAAAGAAAGGTTCAACTCTGTTAGCTGAGTAGATACATCATGAAAAAGTTTCTGACATTGCTTCTATCTAGCTTTTATTGGAAGATATTTCCTTTATCACCGTATTCCTGAGATCTCTCCAAATGTCCACTTCCAGATACTACAAAAAGAGTGTTTCAAACCTGCTCTATGAAAGGGACTGTTCAACACTGTGACTTCAATTGAAACTTCCCAATGAAGCTTCTGAGAATGCTTCTGTCTAGAGTTTATATGAAGACAATCCCGTTTCCAACGAAATCCTCAAAGCTATCCAAATATCCTCTTGCAGATATTACAAAAAGAGTGTTTCAAAACTGCTCTATCAAAAGAAAGGTTCAACACTGTTAGTTGAGGGCGCACATCACAAATAAGTTTACTGAGAATGCTGCTGTCTGCTTTTTATATGTAATCCCGTTTCCAACGAAATCCTCAAAGCTAGACAAATATCCACTTGCAGATTCCACAAAAAGAGTTTTTCAAAACTGCTCTATCAAAAGAATGCTTCAACACTGTTAGTTGAGGGCGCACATCACAAATAAGTTTCTGAGAATGCTTCTGTCTAGTTTTCAGGGGAAGATATTTCCTTTTAAACCATAGGCCTGCAAACGCTCTAAATGTCCACATCCAGATACTACAAAAAGTGTGTTTCAAACTTGCTCTATGAAAGGGACTGTTCAACACTGTGACTTGAATGCAAACTTCACAAAGAAGTTTCTGGGAATGCTTCTGTCTAGAGTTTATATGAAGACAATCCCGTTTCCAACGAAATCCTCAAAGCTATCCAAATATCCTCTTGCAGATTTTACAAAAAGAGTGTTTCAAAACTGCTCTCTCAAAAGAAAGGTTCAACTCTGTTAGCTGAGTAGATACATCATGAAAAAGTTTCTGACATTGCTTCTATCTAGCTTTTATTGGAAGATATTTCCTTTTTCACCGCAGTCCTGAGAGCGTTCCAAATGTCCACTTCCAGATACTACAAAAAGAGTGTTTCAAACCTGCTCTATGAAAGGGACTGTTCAACACTGTGACTTCAATTGAAACATCCCAATGAAGCTTCTGAGAATGCTTCTGTCTAGAGTTTATATGAAGACAATCCCGTTTCCAACGAAATCCTCAAAGCTATCCAAATATCCTCTTGCAGATATTACAAAAAGAGTGTTTCAAAACTGCTCTATCAAAAGAAAGCTTCAACACTGTTAGTTGAGGGCGCACATCACAAATAAGTTTCTGAGAATGCTTCTGTCTAGTTTTCAGGGGAAGATATTTCCTTTTTCACCATAGGCCTGAAAGCGCTACAAATGTCCACATCCAGATACTACAAAAAGAGTGTTTCAAACCTGCTCTATGAAAGGGAATGTTCAACTCTGTGACTTGAATGCAAACATCACAAAGAAGTTACTGGGAATGCTGCTGTCTGCTTTTTATATGTAATCCCGTTTCCAACGAAATCCTCAAAGCTAGACAAATATCCACTTGCAGATTCCACAAAAAGAGTGTTTCAAAACTGCTCTCTCAAAAGAAAGGTTCAACTCTGTTAGCTGAGTAGATACATCATGAAAAAGTTTCTGACATTGCTTCTATCTAGCTTTTATTGGAAGATATTTCCTTTATTCACCGTATTCCTGAGATCTCTCCAAATGTCCACTTCCAGATACTACAAAAAGAGTGTTTCAAACCTGCTCTATGAAAGGGACTGTTCAACACTGTGACTTCAATTGAAACATCCCAATGAAGCTTCTGGGAATGCTGCTGTCTGCTTTGTATAATTAATCCCGTTTCCAACGAAATCCTCAAAGCTATCCAAATATCCTCTTGCAGATATTACAAAAAGAGTGTTTCAAAACTGCTCTATCAAAAGAAAGCTTCAACACTGTTAGTTGAGGGCGCACATCACAAATAAGTTTCTGAGAATGCTGCTGTCTGCTTTTTATATGTAATCCCGTTTCCAACGAAATCCTCAAAGCTAGACAAATATCCACTTGCAGATTCCACAAAAAGAGTTTTTCAAAACTGCTCTATCAAAAGAATGCTTCAACACTGTTAGTTGAGGGCGCACATCACAAATAAGTTTCTGAGAATGCTTCTGTCTAGTTTTCAGGGGAAGATATTTCCTTTTAAACCACAGGCCTGAAAGCGCTCCAAATGTCCACATCCAGATACTACAAAAAGAGTGTTTCAAACCTGCTCTATGAAAGGGAATGTTCTACACTGTGACTTCAATTGAAACATCCCAATGACGCTTCTGAGAATGCTTCTGTCTAGAGTTTATATGAAGACAATCCCGTTTCCAACGAAATCCTCAAAGCTATCCAAATATCCTCTTGCAGATTTTACAAAAAGAGTGTTTCAAAACTGCTCTATCAAAAGAAAGCTTCAACACTGTTAGTTGAGGGCGCACATCACAAATAAGATTCTGAGAATGCTTCTGTCTAGTTTTCAGGGGAAGATATTTCCTTTTTCACCATAGGCCTGAAAGCGCTCCAAATGTCCACATCCAGATACTACAAAAAGAGTGTTTCAAACCTGCTCTCTGAAAG
The DNA here is from genome assembly GCF_000001405.40 of Homo sapiens. Taxonomy (NCBI): domain Eukaryota; kingdom Metazoa; phylum Chordata; class Mammalia; order Primates; family Hominidae; genus Homo; species Homo sapiens. The sequence goes on along the minus strand of NC_000002.12, from coordinate 92,678,958 downwards.
GGAATGTTCAACTCTGTGACTTGAATGCAAACATCACAAAGAAGTTTCTGGGAATGCTGCTGTCTGCTTTTTATATGTAATCCCGTTTCCAACGAAATCCTCAAAGCTAGACAAATATCCACTTGCAGATTCCACAAAAAGAGTGTTTCAAAACTGCTCTATCAAAAGAATGCTTCAACACTGTTAGTTGAAGGCGCACATCACAAATAAGTTTCTGAGAATGCTTCTGTCTAGTTTTCAGGGGAAGATATGTCCTTTTAAACCATAGGCCTGAAAGCGCTCCAAATGTCCACATCCAGATACTACAAAAAGAGTGTTTCAAACCTGCTCTATGAAAGGGACTGTTCAACACTGTGACTTCAATTGAAACATCCCAATGACGCTTCTGAGAATGCTACTGTCTAGAGTTTATATGAAGACAATCCCGTTTCCAACGAAATACTCAAAGCTATCCAAATATCCTCTTGCAGATTTTACAAAAAGAGTGTTTCAAAACTACTCTATCAAAAGAAAGGTTCAACACTGTTAGTTGACGGCGCACATCACAAATAAGTTTCTGAGAATGCTTCTGTCTAGTTTGCAGGGGAAGATATTTCCTTTTTCACCATAGGCCTGAGAGCGCTCCAAATGTCCACATCCAGATACTACAAAAAGAGTGTTTCAAACCTGCTCTATGAAAGGGAATGTTCAACTCTGTGACGTGAATGCAAACATCACAAAGAAGTTTCTGGGAATGCTGCTGTCTGCTTTTTATATGTAAACCTGTTTCCAACGAAATCCTCAAAGCTAGACAAATATCCACTTGCAGATTCCACAAAAAGAGTGTTTCAAAACTGCTCTCTCAAAAGAAAGGTTCAACTCTGTTAGCTGAGTAGATACATCATGAAAAAGTTTCTGACATTGCTTCTATCTAGCTTTTATTGGAAGATATTTCCTTTATCACCGTATTCCTGAGATCTCTCCAAATGTCCACTTCCAGATACTACAAAAAGAGTGTTTCAAACCTGCTCTATCAAAGGGACTGTTCAACACTGTGACTTCAATTGAAACATCCCAATGAAGCTTCTGAGAATGCTTCTGTCTAGAGTTTATATGAAGACAATCCCGTTTCCAACGAAATCCTCAAAGCTATCAAAATATCCTCTTGCAGATTTTACGAAAAGAGTGTTTCAAAACTGCTCTATCAAAAGAAAGCTTCAACACTGTTAGTTGAGGGCGCACATCACAAATAAGATTCTGAGAATGCTTCTGTCTAGTTTTCTGGGGAAGATATTTCCTTTTTCACCATAGGCCTGAAAGCGCTCCAAATGTCCACATCCAGATACTACAAAAAGAGTGTTTCAAACCTGCTCTATGAAAGGGAATGTTCAACTCTGTGAGTTGAATGCAAACATCACAAAGAAGTTACTGGGAATGCTGCTGTCTGCTTTTTATAATTAATCCCGTTTCCAACGAAATCCTCAAAGCTATCCAAATATCCTCTTGCAGATATTACAAAAAGAGTGTTTCAAAACTGCTCTATCAAAAGAAAGCTTCAACACTGTTAGTTGAGGGCGCACATCACAAATAAGTTTCTGAGAATGCTTCTATCTAGCTTTTATTGGAAGATATTTCCTTTATAACCGTATTCCTGAGATCTCTCCAAATGTCCAATTCCAGATACTACAAAAAGAGTGTTTCAAACCTGCTCTATGAAAGGGACTGTTCAACACTGTGACTTCAATTGAAACATCCCAATGAAGCTTCTGAGAATGCTTCTGTCTAGAGTTTATATGAAGACAATCCCGTTTCCAACGAAATCCTCAAAGCTATCCAAATATCCTCTTGCAGATTTTACAAAAAGAGTGTTTCAAAACTGCTCTATCAAAAGAAAGCTTCAACACTGTTAGTTGAGGGCGCACATCACAAATAAGATTCTGAGAATGCTTCTGTCTAGTTTTCAGGAGAAGATATTTCCTTTTTCACCGTAGGCCTGAAAGCGCTCCAAATGTCCACATCCAGATACTATAAAAAGAGTGTTTCAAACCTGCTCTCTGAAAGGGAATGTTCAACTCTGTGACTTGAATGCAAACATCACAAAGAAGATTCTGGGAATGCTGCTGTCTGCTTTTTATATGTAATCCCGTTTCCAACGAAATCCTCAAAGCTAGACAAATATCCACTTGCAGATTCCACAAAAAGAGTGTTTCAAAACTGCTCTATCAAAAGAAAGCTTCAACACTGTTAGTTGAGGGCGCACATCACAAATAAGTTTCTGAGAATGCTTCTGTCTAGTTTTCAAGGGAAGATATTTCCTTTTAAACCATAGGCCTGAAAGCGCTCCAAATGTCCACATCCAGATACTACAAAAAGAGTGTTTCAAACCTGCTCTATGAAAGGGACTGTTCAACACTGTGACTTCAATTGAAACATCCCAATGACGCTTCTGAGAATGCTTCTGTCTAGAGTTTATATGAAGACAATCCCGTTTCCAACGAAATCCTCAAAGCTATCCAAATATCCTCTTGCAGATTGTACAAAAAGAGTGTCTCAAAACTGCTCTATCAAAAGAAAGCTTCAACACTGTTAGTTGAGGGCGCACATCACAAATTAGTTTCTGAGAATGCTTCTGTCTAGTTTTCAGGAGAAGATATTTCCTTTTTCACCATAGGCCTGAAAGCGCTCCAAATGTCCACATCCAGATACTATAAAAAGAGTGTTTCAAACCTGCTCTCTGAAAGGGAATGTTCAACTCTGTGACTTGAATGCAAACATGACAAACAAGATTCTGGGAATGCTGCTGTCTGCTTTTTATATGTAATCCCGTTTCCAACGAAATCCTCAAAGCTATCCAAATATCCTCTTGCAGATATTACAAAAAGAGTGTTTCAAAACTGCTCTATCAAAAGAAAGGTTCAACACTGTTAGTTGAGGGCGCACATCACAAATAAGTTTCTGAGAATGCTTCTGTCTAGTTTTCAGGGGAAGATATTTCCTTTTTAACCATAGGCCTGAAAGCGCTCCAAATGTCCACATCCAGATACTTCAAAAAGAGTGTTTCAAACCTGCTCTATGAAAGGGAATGTTCAACTCTGTGACTTGAATGCAACCATCACAAAGAAGTTACTGGGAATGCTGCTGTCTGCTTTTTATATGTAATCCCGTTTCCAACGAAATCCTCAAAGCTAGACAAATATCCACTTGCAGATTCCACAAAAAGAGTGTTTCAAAACTGCTCTCTCAAAGGAAAGGTTCAACTCTGTTAGCTGAGTAGATACATCATGAAAAAGTTTCTGACATTGCTTCTATGTAGCTTTTATTGGAAGATATTTCCTTTTTCACCATAGTCCTGAGAGCGCTCCAAATGTCCACTTCCAGATACTACAAAAAGAGTGTTTCAAACCTGTTCTATGAAAGGAACTGTTCAACACTGTGACTTCAATTGAAACATCCCAATGAAGCTTCTGAGAATGCTTCTGTCTAGAGTTTATATGAAGACAATCCCGTTTCCAACGAAATCCTCAAAGCTATCCAAATATCCTCTTGCAGATATTACAAAAAGAGTGTTTCAAAACTGCTCTATCAAAAGAAAGGTTCAACACTGTTAGTTGAGGGCGCACATCACAAATAAGTTTCTGAGAATGCTTCTGTCTAGTTTTCAGGGGAAGATATTTCCTTTTTCACCTTAGGCCTGAAAGCGCTGCAAATGTCCACATCCAGATACTATAAAAAGAGTGTTTCAAACCTGCTCTATGAAAGGGAATGTTCAACTCTGTGACTTGAATGAAAACATCACAAAGAAGTTACTGGGAATGCTGCTGTCTGCTTTTTCTATGTAATCCCGTTTGCAACGAAATCCTCAAAGCTAGACAAATATCCACTTGCAGATTCCACAAAAAGAGTGTTTCAAAACTGTTCTCTCAAAAGAAAGGTTCAACTCTGTTAGCTGAGTAGGTACATCATGAAAAAGTTTCTGACATTGCTTCTGTCTAGTTTTCAGGGGAAGATATTTCCTTTTTCACCATAGGCCTGAAAGCGCTCCAAATGTCCACATCCAGATACTACAAAAAGAGTGTTTCAAACCTGCTCTATGAAAGGGACTGTTCAACACTGTGACTTCAATTGAAACATCCCAATGAAGCTTCTGAGAATGCTTCTGTCTAGAGTTTATATGAAGACAATCCCGTTTCCAATGAAATTCTCAATGCTATCCAAATATCCTCTTGCAGATTTTACAAAAAGAGTGTTTCAAAACTGCTCTATCAAAAGAAAGCTTCAACACTGTTAGTTGAGGGCGCACATCACAAATAAGATTCTGAGAATGCTTCTATCTAGTTTGCAGGGGAAGATATTTCCTTTTTCACCATAGGCCTGAAAGCGCTCCAAATGTCCACATCCAGATACTACAAAAAGAGTGTTTCAAACCTGCTCTATGAAAGGGAATGTTCAAGTCCGTGACTTGAATGCAAATATCACAAAGAAGTTTCTGGGAATGCTGCTGTCGGCTTTTTATATGTAATCCCGTTTCCAACGCAATCCTCAAAACTAGACAAATATCCACTTGCAGATTCCACAAAAAGAGTGTTTCAAAACTGCTCTCTCAAAAGAAAGGTTCAACTCTGTTAGCTGAGTAGATACATCATGAAAAATTTTCTGACATTGCTTCTATCTAGCTTTTATTGGAAGATATTTCCTTTTTCACTGTAGTCCTGAGAACGCTCCAAATGTCCACTTCCAGATACTACAAAAAGAGTGTTTCAAACATGCTCTATGAAAGGGACTGTTCAACACTGTGACTTCAATTGAAACATCCGAATGAAGCTTCTGAGAATGCTTCTGTCTAGATTCTATATGAAGACAATCCCGTTTCCAACGAAATCCTCAAATCTATCCAAATATCCTCTTGCAGATTTTACAAAAAGAGTGTTTCAAAACTGCTCTATCAAAAGAAAGGTTCAACACTGTTAGTTGAGGGCTCACATCACAAATAAGTTTCTGAGAATGCTTCTGTCTAGTTTTCAGGGGAAGATATTTCCTTTTTCACCATAGGCCTGAAAGCGCTCCAAATGTCCACATCCAGATACTACAAAAAGAGTGTTTCAAACCTGCTGTATGAAAGGGAATGTTCAACTCTGTGACTTGAATGCAAACATCACAAAGAAGTTACTGGGAATGCTGCTGTCTGCTTTTTATATGTAATCCCGTTTCCAACGAAATCCTCAAAGCTAGAAAAATATCCACTTGCAGATTCCACAAAAAGAGTGTTTCAAAACTGCTCTCTCAAAAGAAAGGTTCAACTCTGTTAGCTGAGTAGATACATCATGAAAAAGTTTCTGACCTTGCTTCTATCTAGCTTTTATTGGAAGATATTTCCTTTTTCACCGTAGTCCTGAGAGCGCTCCAAATGTCCACTTCCAGATGCTACAAAAAGAGTGTTTCAAACCTGCTCTATGAAAGTGACTGTTCAACACTGTGACTTCAATTGAAACATCCCAATGAACCTTCTGAGAATGCTACTGTCTAGGGTTAATATGAAGACAATCCCGTTTCAAACGAAATCCTCAAAGCTATCCAAATATCCTCTTGCAGATTTTACAAAAAGAGTGTTTCAAAACTACTCTATCAACAGAAAGGTTCAACATTGTTAGTTGAGGGCGCACATCACAAATAAGTTTCTGAGAATGCTTCTGTCTAGTTTGCAGGGGAAGATATTTCCTTTTTCACCATAGGCCTGAGAGCGCTCCAAATGTCCACATCCAGATACTACAAAAAGAGTGTTTCAAACCTGCTCTATGAAAGGGAATGTTCAACTCTGTGACTTGAATGCAAACATCACAAAGAAGTTTCTGGGAATGCTGCTGTCTGCTTTTTATATGTAATCCCGTTTCCAACGAAATCCTCAAAGCTAGACAAATATCCACTTGCAGATTCCACAAAAAGAGTGTTTCAAAACTGCTCTCTCAAAAGAAAGGTTCAATTCTGTTAGCTGAGTAGATACATCATGAAAAATTTTCTGACATTGCTTCTATCTAGCTTTTATTGGAAGATATTTCCTTTATCACCGTATTCCTGAGATCTCTCCAAATGTCCACTTCCAGATACTACAAAAAGAGTATTTCAAACCTGCTCTATGAAAGGGACTGTTCAACACTGTGACTTCAATTGAAACATCCCAATGAAGCTTCTGAGAATGCTTCTTTCTAGAGTTTATATGAAGACAATCCCGTTTCCAACGAAATCCTCAAAGCTATCCAAATATTCTCTTGCAGATATTACAAAAAGAGTGTTTCAAAACTGCTCTATCAAAATAAAGCTTCAACACTGTTAGTTGAGGGCGCACATCACAAATAAGTTTCTGAGAATGCTGCTGTCTGCTTTTTATATGTAATCCCGTTTCCAACGAAATCCTCAAAGCTAGACAAATATCCACTTGCAGATTCCACAAAAAGAGTGTTTCAAAACTGCTCTATCAAAAGAAAGCTTCAACACTGTTAGTTGAGGGCGCACATCACAAATAAGTTTCTGAGAATGCTTCTGTCTAGTTTTCAGGGGAAGATACTTCCTTTTTCACCTTAGGCCTGAAAGCGCTCCAAATGTCCACATCCAGATACTACAAAAAGAGTGTTTCAAACCTGCTCTATGAAAGGGACTGTTCAACACTGTGACTTCAATTGAAACATCCCAATGAAGCTTCCGAGAGTGCTTCTGTCTAGATTTTATATGAAGACAATCCCGTTTCCAACGAAATCCTCAAAGCTATCCAAATATCCTCTTGCAGATTTTACAAAAAGAGTGTTTCAAAACTGCTCTATCAAAACAAAGGTTCAACACTGTTAGTTGAGGGCGCACATCACAAATAAGTTTCTGAGAATGCTTCTGTCTAGTTTTCAGGGGAAGATATTTCCTTTTTCACCATAGGCCTGAAAGCGCTCCAAATGTCCACATCCAGATACTACAAAAAGAGTGTTTCAAAACTGCTCTATGAAAGGGAATGTTCAACTCTGTGACTTGAATGCAAACATCACAAAGAAGTTACTGGGAATGCTGCTGTCTGCTTTTTATATGTAATCCCGTTTCCAACGAAATCCTCAAAGCTAGACAAATATCCACTTGCAGATTCCACAAAAAGAGTGTTTCAAAACTGCTCTCTCAAAAGAAAGGTTCAACTCTGTTAGCTGAGTAGATACATCATGAAAAAGTTTCTGACATTGCTTCTATCTAGCTTTTATTGGAAGATATTTCCTTTATCACCGTATTCCTGAGATCTCTCCAAATGTCCACTTCCAGATACTACAAAAAGAGTGTTTCAAACCTGCTCTATGAAAGGGACTGTTCAACACTGTGACTTCAATTGAAACATCCCAATGAAGCTTCTGAGAATGCTTCTGTCTAGATTTTATATGAAGACAATCCCGTTTCCAACGAAATCCTCAAAGCTATCCAAATATCCTCTTGCAGATTTTACAAAAAGAGTGTTTCAAAACTGCTCTATCAAAAGAAATGTTCAACAGTGTTAGTTGAGGGCGCACATCACAAATAAGTTTCTGAGAATGCTGCTGTCTGCTTTTTATATGTAATCCCGTTTCCAACGAAATCCTCAAAGCTAGACAAATATCCACTTGCAGATTCCACAAAAAGAGTGTTTCAAAGCTGCTCTATCAAAAGAAAGCTTCAACACTGTTAGTTGAGGGCGCACATCACAAATAAGTTTCTGAGAATGCTTCTGTCTAGTTTTCAGGGGAAGATATTTCCTTTTAAACCATAGGCCTGAAAGCGCTCCAAATGTCCACATCCAGATACTACAAAAAGAGTGTTTGAAACCTGCTTTATGAAAGGGACTGTTCAACACTGTGACTTCAATTGAAACATCCCAATGAAGCTTCTGAGAATGCTTCTGTCTAGAGTTTATATGAAGACAATCCCGTTTCCAACGAAATCCTCAAAGCTATCCAAATATCCTCTTGCAGATTTTACAAAAAGAGTGTTTCAAAACTGCTCTATCAAAAGAAAGCTTCAACACTGTTAGTTGAGGGCGCACATCACAAATAAGATTCTGAGAATGCTTCTGTCTAGTTTTCAGGGGAAGATATTTCCTTTTTCACCATAGGCCTGAAAGCGCTCCAAATGTCCACATCCAGATACTACAAAAAGAGTGTTTGAAACCTGCTCTATGAAAGGCAATGTTCAACTCTGTGACTTGAATGCAAACATCACAAAGAAGTTACTGGGAATGCTGCTGTCTGCTTTTTATATGTAATCCCGTTTCCAACGAAATCCTCAAAGCTAGACAAATATCCACTTGCAGATTCCACAAAACGAGTGTTTCAAAACTGCTCTCTCAAATGAAGGTTCAACTCTGTTACCTGAGTAGATACATCATGAAAAAGTTTCTGACATTGCTTCTATCTAGCTTTTATTGGAAGATATTTCCTTTTTCACCGCAGTCCTGAGAGCGCTCCAAATGTCCACTTCCAGATACTACAAAAAGAGTGTTTCAAACCTGCTCTATGAAAGGGACTGTTCAACACTGTGACTTCAATTGAAACCTCCCAATGAAGCTTCTGAGAATGCTGCTGTCTGCTTTGTATAATTAATCCCGTTTCCAACGAAATCCTCAAAGCTATCCAAATATCCTCTTGCAGATATTACAAAAAGAGTGTTTCAAAACTGCTCTATCAAAAGAAAGCTTCAACACTGTTAGTTGAGGGCGCACATCACAAATAAGTTTCTGAGAATGCTGCTGTCTGCTTTTTATATGTAATCCCGTTTCCAACGAAATCCTCAAAGCTAGACAAATATCCACTTGCAGATTCCACAAAAAGAGTGTTTCAAAACTGCTCTATCAAAAGAAAGCTTCAACACTGTTAGTTGAGGGCGCACATCACAAATAAGTTTCTGAGAATGCTTCTGTCTAGTTTTCAGGGGAAGATATTTCCTTTTTCACCATAGGCCTGAAAGCGCTCCAAATGTCCACATCCGGATACTACAAAAAGAGTGTTTCAAACCTGCTCTATGAAAGGGACTGTTCAACACTGTGACTTCAATTGAAACATCCCAATGAAGCTTCTGAGAATACTTCTGTCTAGAGTTTATATGAAGACAATCCCGTTTCCAACGAAATCCTCAAAGCTATCCAAATATCCTCTTGCAGATTTTACAAAAAGAGTGTTTCAAAACTGCTCTATCAAAAGAAAGCTTCAACACTGTTAGTTGAGGGCGCACATCACAAATAAGATTCTGAGAATGCTTCTGTCTAGTTTTCAGGGGAAGATATTTCCTTTTTCACCATAGGCCTGAAAGCGCTCCAAATGTCCACATCCAGATACTACAAAAAGAGTGTTTCAAACCTGCTCTATGAAAGGGACTGTTCAACACTGTGACTTCAATTGAAACATCCCAATGAAGCTTCTGAGAATGCTTCTGTCTAGAGTTTATATGAAGACAATCCCGTTTCCAACGAAATCCTCAAAGCTATCCAAATATCCTCTTGCAGATTTTACAAAAAGAGTGTTTCAAAACTGCTCTATCAAAAGAAAGGTTCAACACTGTTAGTTGAGGGCGCACATCACAAATAAGTTTCTGAGAATGCTTCTGTCTAGTTTTCAGGGGAAGATATTTCCTTTTTCACCATAGGCCTGAAAGCGCTCCAAATGTCCACATCCAGATACTACAAAAAGAGTGTTTCAAACCTGCTCTATGAAAGGGAATGTTCAAGTCTGTGACTTGAATGCAAATTTCACAAAGAAATTTCTGGGAATGCTGCTGTCTGCTTTTTATATGTAATCCCGTTTCCAACGAAATCCTCAAAGCTAGACAAATATCCACTTGCAGATTCCACAAAACGAGTGTTTCAAAACTGCTCTCTCAAATGAAGGTTCAACTCTGTTAGCTGAGTACATACATCATGAAAAAGTTTCTGACATTGCTTCTATGTAGCTTTTATTGGAAGATATTTCCTTTTTCACCGTAGTCCTGAGAGCGCTCCAAATGTCCAATTCCAGATACTACAAAAAGAGTGTTTCAAACCTGCTCTATGAAAGGGACTTTTCAACACTGTGACTTCAATTGAATCATCCCAATGAAGCTTCTGAGAATGCTTCTGTCTTGAGTTTATATGAAGAAAATCCCGTTTCCAATGAAATCCTCAAAGCTATCCAAATATCCTCTTGCAGATTTTACAAAAAGACTGTTTCAAAACTGCTCTATCAAAAGAAAGCTTCAACACTGTTAGCTGAGGGCGCACATCACAAATAAGATTCTGAGAATGCTGCTGTCTGCTTTTTATATGTAATCCCGTTTCCAACGAAATCCTCAAATCTAGACAAATATCTACTTGCAGATTCCACAAAAAGAGTGTTTCAAAACTGCTCTATCAAAAGAATGCTTCAACACTGTTAGTTGAGGGCGCACATCACAAATAAGTTTCTGAGAATGCTTCTGTCCAGTTTTCAGGGGAAGATATTTCCTTTTAAACCATAGGCCTGAAAGCACTCCAAATGTCCACATCCAGATACTACAAAAAGAGTGTTTCAAACCTGCTCTATGAAAGGGACTGTTCAACACTGTGACTTCAATTGAAACATCCCAATGAAGCTTCTGAGAATGCTTCTGTCTAGAGTTTATATGAAGACAATCCCGTTTCCAACGAAATCCTCAAAGCTATCCAAATATCCTCTTGCAGATTTTACAAAAAGAGTGTTTCAAAACTGCTCTATCAAAAGAAAGCTTCAACACTGTTAATTGAGGGCGCACATCACAAATAAGATTCTGAGAATGCTTCTGTCTAGTTTTCAGGGGAAGATATTTCCTTTTTCACCATAGACCTGAAAGCGCTCCAAATGTCCACATGCAGATACTACAAAAAGAGTGTTTCAAACCTGCTCTATGAAAGGGAATGTTCAACTGTGTGACTTGAATGCAAACATCACAAAGAAGTTTCTGGGAATGCTGCTGTCTGCTTTTTATATGTAATCCCGTTTCCAACGAAATCCTCAAAGCTAGACAAATATCCACTTGCAGATTCCACCAAAAGAGTGTTTCAAAACTGCTCTCTCAAAAGAAAGTTTCAACTCTGTTAGCTGAGTAGATACATCATGAAAATGTTTCTGACATTGCTTCTATCTAGCTTTTATTGGAAGATATTTCCTTTTTCACCGTAGTCCTGAGAACGCTCCAAATGTCAACTTCCAGATACTACAAAAAGAGTGTTTCAAACCTGCTCTATGAAAGGGACTGTTCAACACTGTGACTTCAATTGAAACATCCCAATGAAGCTTCTGAGAATGCTTCTGTCTAGAGTTTATATGAAGACAGTCCCGTTTCCAACGAAATCCTCAAAGCTATCCAAATATCCTCTTGCAGATTTTACAAAAAGAGTGTTCCAAAACTGCTCCATCAAAAGAAAGCTTCAACACTGTTAGTTGAGGGCGCACATCACAAATAAGATTCTGAGAATGCTTCTGTCTAGATTTCAGGAGAAGATATTTCCTTTTTCACCATAGGCCTGAAAGCGCTCCAAATGTCCACATCCAGATACTATAAAAAGAGTGTTTCAAACCTGCTCTCTGAAAGGGAATGTTCAACACTGTGACTTGAATGCAAACATCACAAACAAGATTCTGGGAATGCTGCTGTCTGCTTTTTATATGTAATCCCGTTTCCAACGAAATCCTCAAAGCTAGACAAATATCCACTTGCAGATTCCACAAAAAGAGTTTTTCAAAACTGCTCTATCAAAAGAATGCTTCAACACTGTTAGTTGAGGGCGCACATCACAAATAAGTTTCTGAGAATGCTTCTGTCTAGTTTTCAGGGGAAGATATTTCCTTTTAAACTATAGGCCTGCAAAAGCTCCAAATGTCCACATCCAGATACTACAAAAAGAGTGTTTCAAACCTGCTCTATGAAAGGGACTGTTCAACACTGTGACTTCAATTGAAACATCCCAATGAAGCTTCTGAGAATTCTTCTGTCTAGATTTTATATGAAGACAATCCCGTTTCCAACGAAATCCTCAAAGCTATCCAAATATCCTCTTGCAGATTTTACAAAAAGAGTGTTTCAAAACTACTCTATCAAAAGAAAGGTTTAACACTGTTAGTTGAGGGCGCACATCACAAATAAGTTTCTGAGAATGCTTCTGTCTAGTTTTCAGGGGAAGATATTTCCTTTTTCACCATAGGCCTGAAAGCGCTCCAAATGTCCACATCCAGATACTACAAAAAGAGTGTTTCAAGCCTGCTCTATGAAAGGGAATGTTCAACTCTGTGACTTGAATGCAAACATCACAAAGAAGTTTCTGGGAATGCAGCTGTCTGCTTTTTATATGTAATCCCGTTTCCATCGAAATCCTCAAAGCTAGACAAATATCCACTTGCAGATTCCACAAAAAGAGTGTTTCAAAACTGCTCTATCAAAAGAAAGCTTCAACACTGTTAGTTGAGGGCGCACATCACAAATAAGTTCCTGAGAATGCTTCTGTCTAGTTTTCAGGGGAAGATATTTCCTTTTTCACCATAGGCTTGAAAGCGCTCCAAATGTCCACATCCAGATACTACAAAAAGAGTGTTTCAAACCTGCTCTATGAAAGGGAATGTTCAACTCTGTGACTTGAATGCAAACATCACAAAGAAGTTTCTGGGAATGCTGCTGTCTGCTTTTTATATGTAATCCCATTTCCAACGAAATCCTCAAAGCTAGACAAATATCCACTTGCAGATTCCACAAAAAGAGTGTTTCAAAACTGCTCTCTCAAAAGAAAAGTTCAACTCTGTTAGCTGAGTAGATACATCATGAAAAAGTTTCTGACATTGCTTCTATCTAGCTTTTATTGGAAGATATTTCCTTTATCACCGTATTCCTGAGATCTCTCCAAATGTCCACTTCCAGATACTACAAAAAGAGTGTTTCAAACCTGCTCTATGAAAGGGACTGTTCAACACTGTGACTTCAATTGAAACATCCCAATGAAGCTTCTGAGAATGCTTCTGTCTAGAGTTTATATGAAGACAATCCCGTTTCCAACGAAATCCTCAAAGCTATCCAAATATCCTCTTGCAGATATTACAAAAAGAGTGTTTCAAAACTGCTCTATCAAAAGAAAGCTTCAACACTGTTAGTTGAGGGCGCACATCACAAATAAGTTTCTGAGAATGCTTCTGTCTAGTTTTCAGGAGAAGATATTTCCTTTTTCACCGTATTCCTGAGATCTCTCCAAATGTCCACTTCCAGATACTACAAAAAGAGTGTTTCAAACCTGCTCTATGAAAGGGACTGTTCAACACTGTGACTTCAATTGAAACATCCCAATGAAGCTTCTGAGAATGCTTCTGTCTAGAGTTTATATGAAGACAATCCCGTTTCCAACGAAATCCTCAAAGCTATCCAAATATCCTCTTGCAGATTTTACGAAAAGAGTGTTTCAAAACTGCTCTATCAAAAGAAAGCTTCAACACTGTTAGTTGAGGGCGCACATCACAAATAAGATTCTGAGAATGCTTCTGTCTAGTTTTCAGGAGAAGATATTTCCTTTTTCACCATAGGCCTGAAAGCGCTCCAAATGTCCACATCCAGATACTATAAAAAGAGTGTTTCAAACCTGCTCTGTGAAAGAGAATGTTCAACTCTGTGACTTGAATGGAAACATCACAAACAAGATTCTGGGAATGCTGCTGTCTGCTTTTTCTATGTAATCCCGTTTCCAACGGAATCCTCAAAGCTAGACAAATATCCACTTGCAGATTCCACAAAAATAGTGTTTCAAAACTGCTCTCAGAAAAGAAAGGTTCAACTCTTTTAGCTGAGTAGATACATCATGAAAAAGTTTCTGACATTGCTTCTATGTAGCTTTTATTGGAAGATATTTCCTTTTTCACCGTAGTCCTGAGAGCGCTCCAAATGTCCACTTCCACATACTACAAAAAGAGTGTTTCAAACCTGCTCTATGAAAGGGACTGTTCAACACTGTGACTTCAATTGAAACATCCCAATGAAGCTTCTGAGAATGCTTCTGTCTAGAGTTTATATGAAGACAATCCCGTTTCCAACGAAATCCTCAAAGCTATCCAAATATCCTCTTGCAGATATTACAAAAAGAGTGTTTCAAAACTGCTCTATCAAAAGAAAGGTTCAACACTGTTAGTTGAGGGCGCACATCACAAATAAGTTTACTGAGAATGCTGCTGTCTGCTTTTTATATGTAATCCCGTTTCCAACGAAATCCTCAAAGCTAGACAAATATCCACTTGCAGATTCCACAAAAAGAGTGTTTCAAAACTGCTCTATCAAAAGAAAGCTTCAACACTGTTAGTTGAGGGCGCACATCACAAATAAGTTTCTGAGAATGCTTCTGTCTAGTTTTCAGGGGAAGATACTTCCTTTTAAACCATAGGCCTGAAAGCGCTCCAAATGTCCACATCCAGATACTACAAAAAGAGTGTTTCAAACCTGCTCTATGAAAGGGAATGTTCAACACTGTGACTTCAATTGAAACATCCCAATGACGCTTCTGAGAATGCTTCTGTCTAGAGTTTATATGAAGACAATCCCGTTTCCAACGAAATCCTCAAAGCTATCCAAATATCCTCTTGCAGATTTTACAAAAAGAGTGTTTCAAAACTGCTCTATCAAAAGAAAGCTTCAACACTGTTAGTTGATGGCGCACATCACAAATAAGATTCTGAGAATGCTTCTGTCTAGTTTTCAGGGGAAGATATTTCCTTTTTCACCATAGGCCTGAAAGCGCTCCAAATGTCCACATCCAGATACTACAAAAAGAGTGTTTCAAACCTGCTCTATGAAAGGGAATGTTCAACTCTGTGACTTGAATGCAAACGTCACAAAGAAGTTACTGGGAATGCTGCTGTCTGCTTTTTATATGTAATCCCGTTTCCAACGAAATCCTCAAAGCTATCCAAATATCCTCTTGCAGATATTACAAAAAGAGTGTTTCAAAACTGCTCTATCAAAAGAAAGGTTCAACACTGTTAGTTGAGGGCGCACATCACAAATAAGTTTCTGAGAATGCTTCTGTCTAGTTTTCAGGGGAAGATATTTCCTTTTTCACCATAGGCCTGAGAGCGCACCAAATGTCCACATCCAGATACTACAAAAAGAGTGTTTCAAACCTGCTCTATGAAAGGGAATGTTCACCTCTGTGACTTGAATGCAAACATCACAAAGAAGTTTCTGGGAATGCTGCTGTCTGCTTTTTATATGTAATCCCGTTTCCAACGAAATCCTCAAACCTAGACAAATATCCACCTGCAGATCGAACAAAAAGAGTGTTTCAAAACTGCTCTCTCAAAAAAAAGGTTCAACTCTGTTAGCTGAGTAGATACATCATGAAAAAGTTTCTGACATTGCTTCTATCTAGCTTTTATTGGAAGATATTTCCTTTTTCACCGTAGTCCTGAGAGCGCTCCAAATGTCCACTTCCAGATACTACAAAAAGAGTGTTTCAAACCTGCTCTATGAAAGGGACTGTTCAACACTGTGACTTCAATTGAAACATCCCAATGAAGCTTCTGAGAATGCTTCTTTCTAGAGTTTATATGAAGACAATCCCGTTTCCAACGAAATCCTCAAAGCTATCCAAATATTCTCTTGCAGATATTACAAAAAGAGTGTTTCAAAACTGCTCTATCAAAATAAAGCTTCAACACTGTTAGTTGAGGGCGCACATCACAAATAAGTTTCTGAGAATGCTGCTGTCTGCTTTTTATATGTAATCCCGTTTCCAACGAAATCCTCAAAGCTAGACAAATATCCACTTGCAGATTCCACAAAAAGAGTGTTTCAAAACTGCTCTATCAAAAGAAAGCTTCAACACTGTTAGTTGAGGGCGCACATCACAAATAAGTTTCTGAGAATGCTTCTGTCTAGTTTTCAGGGGAAGATATTTCCTTTTAAATCATAGGCCTGAAAGCGCTCCAAATGTCCACATCCAGATACTACAAAAAGAGTGTTTCAAATCTGCTCTATGAAAGGGACTGTTCAACACTGTGACTTCAATTGAAACATCCCAATGAAGCTTCTGAGAATGCTTCTGTCTGGAGTTTATATGAAGACAATCCCGTTTCCAACGAAATCCTCAAAGCTATCCAAATATCCTCTTGCAGATATTACAAAAAGAGTGTTTCAAAACTGCTCTATCAAAAGAAAGGTTCAACACTGTTAGTTGAGGGCGCACATCACAAATAAGTTTCTGAGAATGCTTCTGTCTAGTTTACAGGAGAAGATATTTCCTTTTTCACCATAGGCCTGAAAGCGCTCCAAAGGTCCACATCCAGATACTACAAAAAGAGTGTTTCAAACCTGCTCTATGAAAGGGAATGTTCAACTCTGTGACTTGAATGCAAACATCACAAAGAAGTTTCTGGGAATGCTGCTGTCTGCTTTTTATATGTAATCCCGTTTCCAACGAAATCCTCAAAGCTAGACAAATATCCACTTGCAGATTCCACAAAACGAGTGTTTCAAAACTGCTCTCTCAAAGGAAGGTTCAACTCTGTTAGCTGAGTAGATACATCATGAAAAAGTTTCTGACATTGCTTCTATCTAGCTTTTATTGGAAGATATTTCCTTTTTCACCGCAGTCCTGAGAGCGCTCCAAATGTCCACTTCCAGATACTACAAAAAGAGTGTTTCAAACCTGCTCTATGAAAGGGACTGTTCAACACTGTGACTTCAATTGAAACATCCCAATGAAGCTTCTGAGAATGCTTCTGTCTAGAGTTTATATGAAGACAATCCCGTTTCCAACGAAATCCTCAAAGCTATCCAAATATCCTCTTGCAGATATTACAAAAAGAGTGTTTCAAAACTGCTCTATCAAAAGAAAGCTTCAACACTGTTAGTTGAGGGCGCACATCACAAATAAGTTTCTGAGAATGCTTCTGTCTAGTTTTCAGGGGAAGATATTTCCTTTTTCACCTTAGGCCTGAAAGCGCTGCAAATGTCCGCATCCAGATACTACAAAAAGAGTGTTTCAAACCTGCTCTATGAAACGGAATGTTCAACTCTGTGACTTGAATGCAAACATCACAAAGAAGTTTCTGGGAATGCTGCTGTCTGCTTTTTATATGTAATCCCGTTTCCAACGAAATCCTCAAAGCTAGACAAATATCCACTTGCAGATTCCACAAAACGAGTGTTTCAAAACTGCTCTCTCAAATGAAGGTTCAACTCTGTTAGCTGAGTAGATACATCATGAAAAAGTTTCTGACATTGCTTCTATCTAGCTTTTATTGGAAGATATTTCCTTTTTCACCGCAGTCCTGAGAGCGCTCCAAATGTCCACTTCCAGATACTACAAAAAGAGTGTTTCAAACCTGCTCTATGAAAGGGACTGTTCAACACTGTGACTTCAATTGAAACATCCCAATGAAGCTTCTGAGAATGCTTCTGTCTAGTTTTCAGGGGAAGATATTTCCTTTTTCACCTTAGGCCTGAAAGCGCTCCAAATGTCCACATCCAGATACTACAAAAAGAGTGTTTCAAACCTGCTCTATGAAAGGGAATGTTCAACTCTGTGACTTGAATGCAAACATCACAAAGATGTTCCTGGGAATGCTGCTGTCTGCTTTTTATATGTAATCCCGTTTCCAACGAAATCCTCAAAGCTAGACAAATATCCACTTGCAGATTCCACAAAAAGAGTGTTTCAAAACTGCTCTATCAAAAGAATGCTTCAACACTGTTAGTTGAGGGCGCACATCACAAATAAGTTTCTGAGAATGCTTCTGTCTAGTTTTCAGGGGAAGATATTTCCTTTTTCACCATAGGCCTGAAAGCGCTCCAAATGTCCACATCCAGATACTACAAAAAGAGTGTTTCAAACCTGCTCTATGAAAGGGACTGTTCAACACTGTGACTTCAATTGAAACATCCCAATGAAGCTTCTGAGAATGCTTCTGTCTAGAGTTTATATGAAGACAATCCCGTTTCCAACGAAATCCTCAAATCTATCCAAATATCCTCTTGCAGATATTACAAAAAGAGTGTTTCAAAACTGCTCTATCAAAAGAAAGGTTCAACATTGTTAGTTGAGGGCGCACATCACAAATAAGTTTCTGAGAATGCTTCTGTCTAGTTTTCAGGGGAAGATATTTCCTTTTTCACCATAGGCCTGAAAGCGCTCCAAATGTCCACATCCAGATACTACAAAAAGAGTGTTTCAAACCTGCTCTATGAAAGGGAATGTTCAACTCTGTGACTTGAATGCAAACATAACAAAGAAGATTCTGGGAATGCTGCTGTCTGCTTTTTATATGTAATCCCGTTTCCAACGAAATCCTCAAAGCTAGACAAATATCCACTTGCAGATTCCACAAAAAGAGTGTTTCAAAACTGCTCTCTCAAAGGAAAGGTTCAACTCTGTTAGCTGAGTAGATACATCATGAAAAAGTTTCTGACATTGCTTCTATCTAGCTTTTATTGGAAGATATTTCCTTTTTCACCGCAGTCCTGAGAGCGCTCTAAATGTCCACTTCCAGATACTACAAAAAGAGTGTTTCAAACCTGCTCTATGAAAGGGACTGTTCAACACTGTGACTTCAATTGAAACATCCCAATGAAGCTTCTGAGAATGCTGCTGTCTGCTTTGTATAATTAATCCCGTTTCCAACGAAATCCTCAAAGCTATCCAAATATCCTCTTGCAGATATTACAAAAAGAGTGTTTCAAAACTGCTCTATCAAAAGAAAGCTTCAACACTGTTAGTTGAGGGCGCACATCACAAATAAGTTTCTGAGAATGCTGCTGTCTGCTTTTTATATGTAATCCCGTTTCCAACGAAATCCTCAAAGCTAGACAAATATCCACTTGCAGATTCCACAAAAAGAGTGTTTCAAAACTGCTCTATCAAAAGAATGCTTCAACACTGTTAGTTGAAGGCGCACATCACAAATAAGTTTCTGAGAATGCTTCTGTCTAGTTTTCAGGGGAAGATATTTCCTTTTAAACCATAGGCCTGAAAGCGCTCCAAATGTCCACATCCAGATACTACAAAAAGAGTGTTTCAAACCTGCTCTATGAAAGGGACTGTTCAACACTGTGACTTCAATTGAAACATCCCAATGACGCTTCTGAGAATGCTTTCTGTCTAGAGTTTATATGAAGACAATCCCGTTTCCAACGAAATCCTCAAAGCTATCCAAATATCCTCTTGCAGATTTTACAAAAAGAGTGTTTCAAAACTGCTCTATCAAAAGAAAGCTTCAACACTGTTAGTTGAGGGCGCACATCACAAATAAGATTCTGAGAATGCTTCTGTCTAGTTTTCAGGGGAAGATATTTCCTTTTTCACCATAGGCCTGAAAGCGCTCCAAATGTCCACATCCAGATACTACAAAAAGAGTGTTTCAAACCTGCTCTATGAAAGGGAATATTCAACTCTGTGACTTGAATGCAAACATCACAAAGAAGTTACTGGGAATGCTGCTGTCTGCTTTTTATATGTAATCCCGTTTCCAACGAAATCCTCAAAGCTAGACAAATATCCACTTGCAGATTCCACAAAAAGAGTGTTTCAAAACTGCTCTCTCAAAGGAAAGGTTCAACTCTGTTAGCTGAGTAGATACATCATGAAAAAGTTTCTGACATTGCTTCTATCTAGCTTTTATTGGAAGATATTTCCTTTTTCACCGTAGTCCTGAGAGCGCTCCAAATGTCCACTTCCAGATGCTACAAAAAGAGTGTTTCAAACCTGCTCTATGAAAGGGACTGTTCAACACTGTGACTTCAATTGAAACATCCCAATGAAGCTTCTGAGAATGCTACTGTCTAGAGTTTATATGAAGACAATCCCATTTCCACCGAAATCCTCAAACAATCCAAATATCCTCTTGCAGATTTTACAAAAAGAGTGTTTCAAACTGCTCTGTCAAAAGAAAGCTTCAACACTGTTAGTTGAGGGTGCACATCACAAATAAGTTTCTGAGAATGCTTCTGTCTAGTTTTCAGGGGAAGATATTTCATTTTTCACCATAGGCCTGAAAGCGCTCCAAATGTCCACATCCAGATACTACAAAAAGAGTGTTTCAAACCTGCTCTATGAAAGGGAATGTTCAACTCTGTGACTTGAATGCAAACATCACAAAGAAGTTACTGGGAATGCTGCTGTCTGCTTTTTATATGTAATCCCGTTTCCAACGAAATCTTCAAAGCTAGACAAATATCCACTTGCAGATTCCACAAAAAGAGTGTTTCAAAACTGCTCTCTCAAAAGAAAGGTTCAACTCTGTTAGCTGAGTAGATACATCATGAAAAAGTTTCTGACATTGCTTCTATCTAGCTTTTATTGGAAGATATTTCCTTTATCACCGTATTCCTGAGATCTCTCCAAATGTCCACTTCCAGATACTACAAAAAGAGTGTTTCAAACCTGCTCTATGAAAGGGACTGTTCAACACTGTGACTTCAATTGAAACATCCCAATGAAGCTTCTGAGAATGCTTCTGTCTAGAGTTTATATGAAGACAATCCCGTTTCCAACGAAATCCTCAAAGCTATCCAAATATCCTCTTGCAGATATTACAAAAAGAGTGTTTCAAAACTGCTCTATCAAAAGAAAGGTTCAACACTGTTAGTTGAGGGCGCACATCACAAATAAGTTTACTGAGAATGCTGCTGTCTGCTTTTTATAATTAATCCCGTTTCCAACGAAATCCTCAAAGCTATCCAAATATCCTCTTGCAGATATTACAAAAAGAGTGTTTCAAAACTGCTCTATCAAAAGAAAGCTCCAACACTGTTAGTTGAGGGCGCACATCACAAATAAGTTTTCTGAGAATGCTTCTGTCTAGTTTTCAGGGGAAGATATTTTCTTATAAACCATAGGCCTGAAAGCGCTCCAAATGTCCACATCCAGATACTACAAAAAGAGTGTTTCAAACCTGCTCTATGAAAGGGACTGTTCAACACTGTGACTTCAATTGAAACATCCCAATGAAGCTTCTGAGAATGCTTCTGTCTAGAGTTTATATGAAGACAATCCCGTTTCCAACGAAATCCTCAAAGCTATCCAAATATCCTCTTGCAGATTTTACAAAAAGAGTGTTTCAAAACTGCTCTATCAAAAGAAAGCTTCAACACTGTTAGTTGAGGGCGCACATCACAAATAAGATTCTGAGAATGCTTCTGTCTAGTTTTCAGGGGAAGATATTTCCTTTTTCACCATAGGCCTGAAAGCGCTCCAAATGTCCACATCCAGATACTACAAAAAGAGTGTTTCAAACCTGCTCTATGAAAGGGAATGTTCAACTCTGTGACTTGAATGCTAACTTCACAAAGAAGTTTCCTGGGAATGCTGCTGTCTGCTTTTTATATGTAATCCCGTTTCCAACGAAATCCTCAAATTTAGACAAATATCCACTTCCATATTCCACAAAAAGAGTGTTTCAAAACTGCTCTATCAAAAGAATGCTTCAACACTGTTAGTTGAGGGCGCACATCACAAATAAGTTTCTGAGAATGCTTCTGTCTAGTTTTCAAGGGAAGATATTTCCTTTTAAACCATAGGCCTGAAAGCGCTCCAAATGTCCACATCCAGATACTACAAAAAGAGTGTTTCAAACCTGCTCTATGAAAGGGACTGTTCAACACTGTGACTTCAATTGAAACATCCCAATGACGCTTCTGAGAATGCTTCTGTCTAGAGTTTATATGAAGACAATCCCGTTTCCAACGAAATCCTCAAAGCTATCAAAATATCCTCTTGCAGATTTTACGAAAAGAGTGTTTCAAAACTGCTCTATCAAAAGAAAGCTTCAACACTGTTAGTTGAGGGCGCACATCACAAATAAGATTCTGAAAATGCTTCTGTCTAGTTTTCAGGGGAAGATATTTCCTTTTTCACCATAGGCCTGAAAGCGCTCCAAATGTCCACATCCAGATACTACAAAAAGAATGTTTCAAACCTGCTCTATGAAAGGGAATGTTCAACTCTGTGACTTGAATGCAAACATCACAAAGAAGTTTCTGGGAATGCTGCTGTCTGCTTTTTATATGTAATCCCGTTTCCAACGAAATCCTCAAAGCTAGACAAATATCCACTTGCAGATTCCACAAAAAGAGTGTTTCAAAACTGCTCTATCAAAAGAATGTTTCAACACTGGTAGTTGAGGGCGCACATCACAAATAAGTTTCTGAGAATGCTTCTGTCTAGTTTTCAGGGGAAGATATTTCCTTTTAAACCATAGGCCTGAAAGCGCTCCAAATGTCCACATCCAGATACTACAAAAAGAGTGTTTCAAACCTGCTCTATGAAAGGGAGTGTTCAACACTGTGACTTCAATTGAAACATCCCAATGAAGCTTCTGAGAATGCTTCTGTCTAGAGTTTATATGAAGACAATCCCGTTTCCAACGAAATCCTCAAAGCTATCCAAATATCCTCTTGCAGATATTACAAAAAGAGTGTTTCAAAACTGCTCTATCAAAAGAAAGGTTCAACACTGTTAGTTGAGGGCGCACATCACAAATAAGTTTACTGAGAATGCTTTCTGTCTAGTTTTCAGGGGAAGATATTTCCTTTTTCACCATAGGCCTGAAAGCGCTCCAAATGTCCACATCCAGATACTACAAAAAGAGTGTTTCAAACCTGCTCTATGAAAGGGAATATTCAACTCTGTGACTTGAATGCAAACATCACAAAGAAGTTACTGGGAATGCTGCTGTCTGCTTTTTATATGTAATCCCGTTTCCAACGAAATCCTCAAAGCTAGACAAATATCCACTTGCAGATTCCACAAAAAGAGTGTTTCAAAACTGCTCTCTCAAAGGAAAGGTTCAACTCTGTTAGCTGAGTAGATACATCATGAAAAAGTTTCTGACATTGCTTCTATGTAGCTTTTATTGGAAGATATTTCCTTTTTCACCGTAGTCCTGAGAGCGCTCCAAATGTCCACTTCCAGATACTACAAAAAGAGTGTTTCAAACCTGCTCTATGAAAGGGACTGTTCAACACTGTGACTTCAATTGAAACATCCCAATGAAGCTTCTGAGTATGCTTCTGTCTAGAGTTTATATGAAGACAATCCCGTTTCCAACGAAATCCTCAAAGCTATCCAAATATCCTCTTGCAGATTTTACAAAAAGAGTGTTTCAAAACTGCTCTATCAAAAGAAAGCTTCAACACTGTTAGTTGAGGGCGCACATCACAAATAAGATTCTGAGAATGCTTCTGTCTAGTTTTCAGGGGAAGATATTTCCTTTTTCACCATAGGCCTGAAAGCGCTCCAAATGTCCACATCCAGATACTACAAAAAGAGTGTTTCAAGCCTGCTCTATGAAAGGGAATGTTCAACTCTGTGACTTGAATGCAAACATCACAAAGAAGTTTCTGGGAATGCAGCTGTCTGCTTTTTATATGTAATCCCGTTTCCAACGAAATCCTCAAAACTAGACAAATATCCACTTGCAGATTCCACAAAAAGAGTGTTTCAAAACTGCTCTCTCAAAAGAAAGGTTCAACTCTGTTAGCTGAGTAGGTACATCATGAAAAAGTTTCTGACATTGCTTCTATCTAGCTTTTATTGGAAGATATTTCCTTTATCACCGTATTCCTGAGATCTCTCCAAATGTCCACTTCCAGATACTACAAAAATAGTGTTTCAAACCTGCTCTATGAAAGGGACTGTTCAACACTGTGACTTCAATTGAAACATCCCAATGAAGCTTCTGAGAAAGCTTCTGTCTAGAGTTTATATGAAGACAATCCCGTTTCCAACGAAATCCTCAAAGCTATCAAAATATCCTCTTGCAGATTTTACGAAAAGAGTGTTTCAAAACTGCTCTATCAAAAGAAAGCTTCAACACTGTTAGTTGAGGGCGCACATCACAAATAAGATTCTGAGAATGCTTCTGTCTAGTTTTCAGGAGAAGATATTTCCTTTTTCACCATAGGCCTGAAAGCGCTCAAAATGTCCACATCCAGATACTATAAAAAGAGTGTTTCAAACCTGCTCTCTGAAAGGGAATGTTCAACTCTGTGACTTGAATGCAAACATCACAAACAAGATTCTGGGAATGCTGCTGTCTGCTTTTTATATGTAATCCCGTTTCCAACGAAATCCTCAAAGCTAGACAAATATCCACTTGCAGATTCCACAAAAAGAGTGTTTCAAAACTGCTCTCTCAAAAGAAAGGTTCAACTCTGTTAGCTGAGTAGATACATCATGAAAAATTTTCTGACATTGCTTCTATCTTGCTTTTATTGGAAGATATTTCCTTTTTCACCGTAGTCCTGAGAGCGCTCCAAATGTCCACTTCCAGATACTACAAAAAGAGTGTTTCAAACCTGCTCTATGAAAGGGACTGTTCAACACTGTGACTTCAATTGAAACATCCCAATGAAGCTTCTGAGAATGCTTCTGTCTAGAGTTTATATGAAGACAATCCCGTTTCCAACGAAATCCTCAAAGCTATCCAAATATCCTCTTGCAGATATTACAAAAAGAGTGTTTCAAAACTGCTCTATCAAAAGAAAGGTTCAACACTGTTAGTTGAGGGCGCACATCACAAATAAGTTTACTGAGAATGCTGCTGTCTGCTTTTTATATGTAATCCCGTTTCCAACGAAATCCTCAAAGCTAGACAAATATCCACTTGCAGATTCCACAAAAAGAGTGTTTCAAAACTGCTCTATCAAAAGAATGCTTCAACACTGTTAGTTGAGGGCGCACATCACAAATAAGTTTCTGAGAATGCTTCTGTCTAGTTTTCAGGGGAAGATATTTCCTTTTTCACCATAGGCCTGAAAGCGCTCCAAATGTCCACATCCAGATACTACAAAAAGAGTGTTTCAAACCTGCTCTATGAAAGGGACTGTTCAACACTGTGACTTCAATTGAAACATCCCAATGAAGCTTCTGAGAATGCTTCTGTCTAGAGTTTATATGAAGACAATCCCGTTTCCAACGAAATCCTCAAAGCTATCCAAATATCCTCTTGCAGATTTTACAAAAAGAGTGTTTCAAAACTGCTCTATCAAAAGAAAGCTTCAACACTGTTAGTTGACGGCGCACATCACAAATAAGATTCTGAGAATGCTTCTGTCTAGTTTTCAGGAGAAGATATTTCCTTTTTCACCATAGGCCTGAAAGCGCTCCAAATGTCCACATCCAGATACTATAAAAAGAGTGTTTCAAACCTGCTCTCTGAAAGGGAATGTTCAACTCTGACTTGAATGCAAACATCACAAACAAGATTCTGGGAATGCTGCTGTCTGCTTTTTATATGTAATCCCGTTTCCAACGAAATCCTCAAAGCTATCCAAATATCCTCTTGCAGATATTACAAAAAGAGTGTTTCAAAACTGCTCTATCAAAAGAAAGGTTCAACACTGTTAGTTGAGGGCGCACATCACAAATAAGTTTCTGAGAATGCTTCTGTCTAGTTTTCAGGGGAAGATATTTCCTTTTTCACCATAGGCCTGAAAGCGCTCCAAATGTCCACATCCAGATACTACAAAAAGAGTGTTTCAAACCTGCTCTATGAAACGGAATGTTCAACTCTGTGACTTGAATGCAAACATCACAAAGAAGATTCTGGGAATGCTGCTGTCTGCTTTTTATATGTAATCCCGTTTCCAACGAAATCCTCAAAGCTAGACAAATATCCACTTGCAGATTCCACAAAAAGAGTGTTTCAAAACTGCTCTCTCAAAAGAAAGGTTCAACTCTGTTAGCTGAGTAGATACATCATGAAAAAGTTTCTGACATTGCTTCTATCTAGCTTTTATTGGAAGATATTTCCTTTATCACCGTACTCCTGAGATCTCTCCAAATGTCCACTTCCAGATACTACAAAAAGAGTGTTTCAAACCTGCTCTATGAAAGGGACTGTTCAACACTGTGACTTCAATTGAAACATCCCAATGAAGCTTCTGAGAATGCTTCTGTCTAGAGTTTATATGAAGACAATCCCGTTTCCAACGAAATCCTCAAAGCTATCCAAATATCCTCTTGCAGATATTACAAAAAGAGTGTTTCAAAACTGCTCTATCAAAAGAAAGGTTCAACACTGTTAGTTGAGGGCGCACATCACAAATAAGTTTCTGAGAATGCTTCTGTCTAGTTTTCAGGGGAAGATATTTCCTTTTTCACCATAGGCCTGAAAGCGCTCCAAATGTCCACATCCAGATACTTCAAAAAGAGTGTTTCAAACCTGCTCTATGAAAGGGAATGTTCAACTCTGTGACTTGAATGCAAACATCACAAAGAAGTTACTGGGAATGCTGCTGTCTGCTTTTTATATGTAATCCCGTTTCCAACGAAATCCTCAAAGCTAGACAAATATCCACTTGCAGATTCCACAAAAAGAGTGTTTCAAAACTGCTCTCTCAAAGGAAAGGTTCACCTCTGTTAGCTGAGTAGATACATCATGAAAAAGTTTCTGACATTGCTTCTATGTAGCTTTTATTGGAAGATATTTAATTTTTCACCATAGTCCTGAGAGCGCTCCAAATGTCCACTTCCAGATACTACAAAAAGAGTGTATCAAACCTGTTCTATGAAAGGGACTGTTCAACACTGTGACTTCAATTGAAACATCCCAATGAAGCTTCTGAGAATGCTTCTGTCTAGAGTTTATATGAAGACAATCCCGTTTCCAACGAAATCGTCAAAGCTATCCAAATATCCTCTTGCAGATATTACAAAAAGAGTGTTTCAAAACTGCTCTATCAAAAGAAAGCTTCAACACTGTTAGTTGAGGGCGCACATCACAAATAAGTTTCTGAGAATGCTTCTGTCTAGTTTTCAGGGGAAGATATTTCCTTTTTCACCTTAGGCCTGAAAGCGCTGCAAATGTCCACATCCAGATACTACAAAAAGAGTGTTTCAAACCTGCTCTATGAAAGGGAGTGTTCAACTCTGTGACTTGAATGCCAACATCACAAAGAAGTTTCTGGGAATGCTGCTGTCTGCTTTGTATATGTAATCCCGTTTCCAACGAAATCCTCAAAGCTAGACAAATATCCACTTGCAGATTCCACAAAAAGAGTGTTTCAAAACTGCTCTCTCAAAAGAAAGGTTCAACTCTGTTAGCTGAGTAGATACATCATGAAAAAGTTTCTGACATTGCTTCTATCTAGCTTTTATTGGAAGATATTTCCTTTATCACCGTATTCCTGAGATCTCTCCAAATGTCCACTTTCAGATACTACAAAAAGAGTGTTTCAAACCTGCTCTATGAAAGGGACTGTTCAACACTGTGACTTCAATTGAAACATCCCAATGAAGCTTCTGAGAATTCTGCTGTCTGCTTTGTATAATTAATCCCGTTTCCAACGAAATCCTCAAAGCTATCCAAATATCCTCTTGCAGATATTACAAAAAGAGTGTTTCAAAACTGCTCTATCAAAAGAAAGCTTCAACACTGTTAGTTGAGGGCGCACATCACAAATAAGTTTCTGAGAATGCTGCTGTCTGCTTTTTATAATTAATCCCGTTTCCAACGAAATCCTCAAAGCTAGACAAATATCCACTTGCAGATTCCACAAAAAGAGTGTTTCAAAACTGCTCTATCAAAAGAATGCATCAACACTGTTAGTTGAGGGCGCACATCACAAATAAGTTTCTGAGAATGCTTCTGTCTAGTTTTCAGGGGAAGATATTCCTTTTAAACCATAGGCCTGAAAGCGCTCCAAATGTCCACATCCAGATACTACAAAAAGAGTGTTTCAAACCTGCTCTATGAAAGGGACTGTTCAACACTGTGACTTCAATTGAAACATCCCAATGACGCTTCTGAGAATGCTACTGTCTAGAGTTTATATGAAGACAATCCCATTTCCACCGAAATCCTCAAAGCTATCCAAATATCCTCTTGCAGATTTTACAAAAAGAGTGTTTCAAAACTGCCCTATCAAAAGAAAGCTTCAACACTGTTAGTTGAGGGCGCGCATCACAAATAAGTTTCTGAGAATTCTTCTGTCTAGTTTTCAGGGGAAGATATTTCCTTTTTCACCATAGGCCTGAAGGCGCTCCAAATGTCCACATCCAGATAATACAAAAAGAGTGTTTCAAACCTGCTCTATGAAAGGGAATGTTCAACTCTGTGACTTGAATGCAAACATCACAAAGAAGTTTCTGGGAATGCTTCTGTCTGCTTTTTATATGTAATCCCGTTTCCAACGAAATCCTCAAAGCTAGACAAATATCCACTTGCAGATTCCACAAAAAGAGTGTTTCAAAACGGCTCTCTCAAAAGAAATGTTCAACTCTGTTAGCTGAGTAGATACATCATGAAAAAGTTTCTGAGATTGCTTCTATCTAGCTTTATTTGGAAGATATTTCCTTTTTCACCGTAGTCCTGAGAGCGCTCCAAATGTCCACTTCCAGATACTACAAAAAGAGTGTTTCAAACCTGCTCTATGAAAGGGACTGTTCAACACTGTGACTTCAATTGAAACATCCCAATGAAGCTTCTGAGAATGCTTCTGTCTAGATTTTATATGAAGACAATCCCGTTTCCAACGAAATCCTCAAAGCTATCCAAATATCCTCTTGCAGATTTTACAAAAAGAGTGTTTCAAAACTGCTCTATCAAAAGAAAGCTTCAACACTGTTAGTTGAGGGCGCACATCACAAATAAGATTCTGAGAATGCTTCTGTCTAGTTTTCAGGGTAAGATATTTCCTTTTTCACCATAGGCCTGAAAGCGCTCCAAATGTCCACATCCAGATACTACAAAAAGAGTGTTTCAAACCCGCTCTATGGAAGGGAATGTTCAAGTCTGTGACTTGAATGCAAATATCACAAAGAAGTTTCTGGGAATGCTGCTGCCTGCTTTTTATATGTAATCCCGTTTCCAACGCAATCCTCAAAGCTAGACAAATATCCACTTGCAGATTCCACAAAAAGAGTGTTTCAAAACTGCTCTCTCAAAAGAAAGGTTCAACCCTGTTAGCTGAGTAGATACATCATGAAAAATTTTCTGACATTGCTTCTATCTAGCTTTTATTGGAAGATATTTCCTTTTTCACTGTAGTCCTGAGAGCGCTCCAAATGTCCACTTCCAGATACTACAAAAAGAATGTTTCAAATCTGCTCTATGAAAGGGACTGTTCAACACTGTGACTTCAATTGAAACATCCCAATGAAGCTTCTGAGAATGATTCTGTCTAGATTCTATATGAAGACAATCCCGTTTCCAACGTAATCCTCAAAGCTATCCAAATATCCTCTTGCGGATTTTACAAAAAGAGTGTATCAAAACTGCTCTATCAAAAGAAAGGTTCAACACTGTTAGTTGAGGGCGCACATGACAAATAAGTTTCTGAGAATGCTTCTGTCTAGTTTTCAGGGGAAGATATTTCCTTTTTCACCATAGGCCTGAAAGCGCTCCAAATGTCCACATCCAGATACTACAAAAAGAGTGTTTCAAACCTGCTCTATGAAACGGACTGTTCAAGTCTGTGACTTCAATGCAAATATCACAAAGAAGTTTCTGGGAATGCTGCTGTCTGCTTTTTATATGTAATACCATTTACAACGCAATCCTCAAAACTAGACAAATATCCACTTGCAGATTCCACAAAAAGAGTGTTTCAAAACTACTCTCTCCAAAGAAAGGTTCAACTCTGTTAGCTGAGTAGATACATCATGAAAAATTTTCTGACATTTCTTCTATCTAGCTTTTATTGGAAGATATTTCCTTTTTCACTGTCGTCCTGAGAACGCTCCAAATGTCCACTTCCAGATACTACAAAAAGATTGTTTCAAACATGCTCTATGAAAGGGACTGTTCAACACTGTGACTTCAATTGAAACATCCCAATGAAGCTTCTGAGAATGCTTCTGTCTAGAGTTTATATGAAGACAATCCCGTTTCCAACGAAATCCTCAAAGCTATCCAAATATCCTCTTGCAGATATTACAAAAAGAGTGTTTCAAAACTGCTCTATCAAAAGAAAGGTTCAACACTGTTAGTTGAGGGCGCACATCACAAATAAGTTTACTGAGAATGCTGCTGTCTGCTTTTTATATGTAATCCCGTTTCCAACGAAATCCTCAAAGCTAGACAAATATCCACTTGCAGATTCCACAAAAAGAGTGTTTCAAAACTGCTCTATCAAAAGAAAGCTTCAACACTGTTAGTTGAGGGCGCACATCACAAATAAGTTTCTGAGAATGCTTCTGTCTAGTTTTCAGGGGAAGATATTTCCTTTTTCACCATAGGCCCGAAAGCGCTCCAAATGTCCACATCCAGATACTACAAAAAGAGTGTTTCAAACCTGCTCTATGAAAGGGACTGTTCAACACTGTGACTTCAATTGAAACATCCCAATGAAGCTTCTGAGAATGCTTCTGTCTAGAGTTTATATGAAGACAATCCCGTTTCCAACGAAATCCTCAAAGCTATCCAAATATCCTCTTGCAGATTTTACGAAAAGAGTGTTTCAAAACTGCTCTATCAAAAGAAAGCTTCAACACTGTTAGTTGAGGGCCCACATCACAAATAAGTTTCTGAGAATGCTTCTGTCTAGTTTTCAGGGGAAGATATTTCCTTTTTCACCATAGGCCTGAAAGCGCTCGAAATGTCCACATCCAGATACTACAAAAAGAGTGTTTCAAACCTGCTCTATGAAAGGGAATGTTCAACTCTGTGACTTGAATGCAAACATCACAAAGTAGTTACTGGGAATGCTGCTGTCTGCTTTTTATATGTAATCCCGTTTCCAACGAAATCCTCAAAGCTAGACAAATATCCACTTGCAGATTCCACAAAAAGAGTGTTTCAAAACTGCTCTCTCAAAAGAAAGGTTCAACTCTGTTAGCTGAGTAGATACATCATGAAAATGTTTCTGACATTGCTTCTATGTAGCTTTTATTGGAAGATATTTCCTTTTTCACCATAGTCCTGAGAGCGCTCCAAATGTCCACTTCCAGATACTACAAAAAGAGTGTTTCAAACCTGCTCTATGAAAGGAACTGTTCAACACTGTGACTTCAATTGAAACATCCCAATGAAGCTTCTGGGAATGCTGCTGTCTGCTTTGTATAATTAATCCCGTTTCCAACGAAATCCTCAAAGCTATCCAAATATCCTCTTGCAGATATTACAAAAAGAGTGTTTCAAAACTGCTCTATCAAAAGAAAGCTTCAACACTGTTAGTTGAGGGCGCACATCACAAATAAGTTTCTGAGAATGCTGCTGTCTGCTTTTTATATGTAATCCCGTTTCCAACGAAATCCTCAAAGCTAGACAAATATCCACTTGCAGATTCCACAAAAAGAGTGTTTCAAAACTGCTCTATCAAAAGAATGCTTCAACACTGTTAGTTGAAGGCGCACATCACAAATAAGTTTCTGAGAATGCTTCTGTCTAGTTTTCAGGGGAAGATATTTCCTTTTAAACCATAGGCCTGAAAGCGCTCCAAATGTCCACATCCAGATACTACAAAAAGAGTGTTTCAAACCTGCTCTATGAAAGGGACTGTTCAACACTGTGACTTCAATTGAAACATCCCAATGACGCTTCTGAGAATGCTTCTGTCTAGAGTTTATATGAAGACAATCCCGTTTCCAACGAAATCCTCAAAGCTATCCAAGTATCCTCTTGCAGATATTACAAAAAGAGTGTTTCAAAACTGCTCTATCAAAAGAAAGCTTCAACATTGTTAGTTGAGGGCGCACATCACAAATAAGTTTCTGAGAATGCTTCTGTCTAGTTTTCAGGGGAAGATATTTCCTTTTTCACCATAGGCCTGAAAGCGCTCCAAATGTCCACATCCAGATACTACAAAAAGAGTGTTTCAAACCTGCTCTATGAAAGGGAATGTTCAACTCTGTGACGTGAATGCAAACATCACAAAGAAGTTTCTGGGAATGCTGCTGTCTGCTTTTTATATGTAATCCCGTTTCCAACGAAATCCTCAAAGCTAGACAAATATCCACTTGCAGATTCCACAAAAAGAGTGTTTCAAAACTGCTCTATCAAAAGAAAGCTTCAACACTGTTAGTTGAGGGCGCACATCACAAATAAGTTTCTGAGAATGCTTCTGTCTAGTTTTCAGGGGAAGATATTTCCTTTTAAACCATAGGCCTGAAAGCGCTCCAAATGTCCACATCCAGATACTACAAAAAGAGTGTTTCAAACCTGCTCTATGAAAGGGACTGTTCAACACTGCAACTTCAATTGAAACATCCCAATGAAGCTTCTGAGAATGCTTCTGTCTAGAGTTTATATGAAGACAATCCCGTCTCCAACGAAATCCTCAAAGCTATCCAAACATCCTCTTGCAGATATTACAAAAAGAGTGTTTCAAAACTGCTCTATCAAAAGAAAGCTTCAACACTGTTAGT
The DNA here is from genome assembly GCF_000001405.40 of Homo sapiens. Taxonomy (NCBI): domain Eukaryota; kingdom Metazoa; phylum Chordata; class Mammalia; order Primates; family Hominidae; genus Homo; species Homo sapiens. Next base: position 92,646,671 of record NC_000002.12, on the reverse strand, counting down.
TGAGGGCGCACATCACAAATAAGATTCTGAGAATGCTTCTGTCTAGTTTTCAGGGGAAGATATTTCCTTTTTCACCATAGGCCTGAAAGCGCTCCAAATGTCCACATCCAGATACTACAAAAAGAGAGTTTCAAACCTGCTCTATGAAAGGGAATGTTCAACTCTGTGACTTGAATGCAAACATCACAAAGAAGTTTCTGGGAATGCTGCTGTCTTCTTTTTATATGTATTCCCGTTTCCAACGAAATCCTCAAAGCTAGACAAATATCCACTTGCAGATTCCACAAAAAGAGTGTCTCAAAACTGCTCTCTCAAAAGAAAGGTTCAACTCTGTTAGCTGAGTAGATACATCATGAAAAAGTTTCTGACATTGCTTCTATGTAGCTTTTATTGGAAGATATTTCCTTTTTCACCGTAGTCCTGAGAGCGCTCCAAATGTCCACTTCCAGATACTACAAAAAGAGTGTTTCAAACCTGCTCTATGAAAGGGACTGTTCAACACTGTGACTTCAATTGAAACATCCCAATGAAGCTTCTGAGAATGCTTCTTTCTAGAGTTTATATGAAGACAATCCCGTTTCCAACGAAATCCTCAAAGCTATCCAAATATTCTCTTGCAGATATTACAAAAAGAGTGTTTCAAAACTGCTCTATCAAAATAAAGCTTCAACACTGTTAGTTGAGGGCGCACATCACAAATAAGTTTCTGAGAATGCTGCTGTCTGCTTTTTATATGTAATCCCGTTTCAAACGAAATCCTCAAAGCTAGACAAATATCCACTTGCAGATTCCACAAAAAGAGTGTTTCAAAACTGCTCTATCAAAAGAAAGCTTCAACACTGTTAGTTGAGGGCGCACATCACAAATAAGTTTCTGAGAATGCTTCTGTCTAGTTTTCAGGGGAAGATATTTCCTTTTTCACCATAGGCCTGAAAGCGCTCCAAATGTCCACATTCCAGATACTACAAAAAGAGTGTTTCAAACCTGCTCCATGAAAGGGACTGTTCAACACTGTGACTTCAATTGAAACATCCCAATGATATGCTTCTGAGAATGCTTCTGTCTAGAGTTTATATGAAGACAATCCCGTTTCCAATGAAATCCTCAAAGCTATGCAAATATCCTCTTGCAGATTTTACAAAAAGAGTGTTTCAAAACTGCTCTATCAAAAGAAAGCTTCAACACTGTTAGTCGAGGGCGCACATCACAAATAAGATTCTGAGAATGCTTCTGTCTAGTTTTCAGGAGAAGATATTTCCTTTTTCACCATAGGCCTGAAAGCGCTCCAAATGTCCACATCGAGATACTACAAAAAGAGTGTTTCAAACCTGCTCTATGAAAGGGAATGTTCAACTCTGTGACTTGAATGCAAACATCACAAAGAAGATTCTGGGAATGCTGCTGTCTGCTTTTTATATGTAATCCCGTTTCCAACGAAATCCTCAAAGCTAGACAAATATCCACTTGCAGATTCCACAAAAAGAGTGTTTCTAAACTGCTCTATCAAAAGAAAGCTTCAACACTGTTAGTTGAGGGGGCACATCACAAATAAGTTTCTGAGAATGCTTCTGTCTAGTTTTCAGGGGAAGATATTTCCTTTTTTACCATAGGCCTGAAAGCGCTCCAAATGTCCACATCCAGATACTACAAAAAGAGTGTTTCAAACCTGCTCTATGAATGGGACTGTTCAACACTGTGACTTCAATTGAAACATCCCAATGAAGCATCTGAGAATGCTTCTGTCTGGAGTTTATATGAAGACAATCCCGTTTCCAACGAAATCCTCAAAGCTATCCAAATATCCTCTTGCAGATTTTACAAAAAGAGTGTTTCAAAACTGCTCTATCAAAAGAAAGCTTCAACACTGTTAGTTGAGGGCGCACATCACAAATAAGTTTCTGAGAATGCTTCTGTCTAGTTTTCAGGGGAAGATATTTCCTTTTTCACCATAGGCCTGAAAGCGCTCGAAATGTCCACATCCAGATACTACAAAAAGAGTGTTTCAAACCTGCTCTATGAAAGGGACTGTTCAACACTGTGACTTCAATTGAAACATCCCAATGAAGCTTCTGAGAATGCTTCTGTCTAGAGTTTATATGAAGACAATCCCGTTTCCAACGAAATCCTCAAAGCTATCCAAATATCCTCTTGCAGATATTACAAAAAGAGTGTTTCAAAACTGCTCTATCAAAAGAAAGGTTCCACACTGCTAGTTGAGGGCGCACATCACAAATAAGTTTCTGAGAATGCTTCTGTCTAGTTTTCAGGGGAAGATATTTCCTTTTTCACCATAGGCCTGAAAGCGCTCCAAAGGTCCACATCCAGATACTACAAAAAGAGTGTTTCAAACCCGCTCTATGGAAGGGAATGTTCAAGTCTGTGACTTGAATGCAAATATCACAAAGAAGTTTCTGGGAATGCTGCTGTCTGCTTTTTATATGTAATCCCGTTTCCAACCAAATCCTCAAAGCTAGACAAATATCCACTTGCAGATTCCACCAAAAGACTGTTTCAAAACTGCTCTCTCAAAGGAAAGGTTCAACTCTGTTAGCTGAGTAGATACATCATGAAAAAGTTTCTGACATTGCTTCTGTCTAGTTTTCAGGGGAAGATATTTCCTTTTTCACCATAGGCCTGAAAGCGCTCCAAATGTCCACATCCAGATACTACAAAAAGAGTGTTTCAAACCTGCTCTATGAAAGGGACTGTTCAACACTGTGACTTCAATTGAAACATCCCAATGAAGCTTCTGAGAATGCTTCTGTCTAGAGTTTATATGAAGACAATCCCGTTTCCAACGAAATCCTCAAAGCTATCCAAATATCCTCTTGCAGATTTTACAAAAAGAGTGTTTCAAAACTGCTCTATCAAAAGAAAGCTTCAACACTGTTAGTTGAGGGCGCACATCACAAATAAGATTCTGAGAATGCTTCTGTCTAGTTTTCAGGGGAAGATATTTCCTTTTTCACCATAGGCCTGAAAGCGCTCCAAATGTCCACATCCAGATACTACAAAAAGAGTGTTTCAAACCTGCTCTATGAAAGGGAATGTTCAAATCTGTGACTTGAATGCAAACATCACAAAGAAGTTTCTGGGAATGCTGCTGTCTGCTTTTTATATGTAATCCCGTTTCCAACGAAATCCTCAAAGCTAGACAAATATCCACTTGCAGATTCCACAAAAAGAGTGTTTCAAAACTGCTCTCTCAAAGGAAAGGTTCAACTCTGTTAGCTGAGTAGATACATCATGAAAAAGTTTCTGACATTGCTTCTATGTAGCTTTTATTGGAAGATATTTCCTTTTTCACCATAGTCCTGAAAGCGCTCCAAATGTCCACTTCCAGATACTACAAAAAGAGTGTTTCAAACCTGTTCTATGAAAGGAACTGTTCAACACTGTGACTTCAATTGAAACATCCCAATGAAGCTTCTGGGAATGCTTCTGTCTAGAGTTTATATGAAGACAATCCCGTTTCCAACGAAATCCTCAAAGCTATCCAAATATCCTCTTGCAGATATTACAAAAAGAGTGTTTCAAAACTGCTCTATCAAAAGAAAGCTTCAACACTGTTAGTTGAGGGCGCACATCACAAATAAGTTTCTGAGAATGCTTCTGTCTAGTTTTCAGGAGCAAGATATTTCCTTTTTCACAATAGGCCTGAAAGCGCTCAAAATGTCCACATCCAGATACTATAAAAAGAGTGTTTCAAACCTGCTCTCTGAAAGGGAATGTTCAACTCTGTGACTTGAATGCAAACATCACAAACAAGATTCTGGGAATGCTGCTGTCTGCTTTTTATATGTAATCCCGTTTCCAACGAAATCCTCAAAGCTAGACAAATATCCACTTGCAGATTCCACAAAAAGAGTGTTTCAAATCTGCTCTCTCAAAGGAAGGTTCAACTCTGGTAGCTGAGTAGATACATCATGAAAAAGTTTCTGACATTGCTTCTATGTAGCTTTTATTGGAAGATATTTCCTTTTTCACCATAGTCCTGAGAGCGCTCCAAATGTCCACTTCCAGATACTACAAAAAGAGTGTTTCAAACCTGTTCTATGAAAGGAACTGTTCAACACTGTGACTTCAATTGAAACATCCCAATGAAGCTTCTGAGAATGCTTATGTCTAGAGTTTATATGAAGACAATCCCGTTTCCAACGAAATCCTGAAAGCTATCCAAATATCCTCTTGCAGATATTACAAAAAGAGTGTTTCAAAACTGCTCTATCAAAAGAAAGCTTCAACACTGTTAGTTGAGGGCGCCCATCACAAATAAGTTTCGGAGAATGCTTAGCTGTCTGCTTTTTATATGTAATCCCGTTTCCATCGAAATCCTCAAAGCTAGACAAATATGCACTTGCAGATTCCACAAAAAGAGTGTTTCAAAACTGCTCTATCAAAAGAATGCTTCAACACTGTTAGTTGAGGGCGCACATCACAAATAAGTTTCTGAGAATGCTTCTGTCTAGTTTTCAGGGGAAGATATTTCCTTTTTCACCATAGGCCTGAAAGCGCTCTAAATGTCCACATCCAGATACTACAAAAAGAGTGTTTCAAACCTGCTCTATGAAAGGGACTGTTCAACACTGTGACTTCAATTGAAACATCCCAATGAAGCTTCTGAGAATGCTTCTGTCTAGAGTTTATATGAAGACAATCCCGTTTCCAACGAAATCCTCAAAGCTATCCAAATATCCTCTTGCAGATTTTACAAAAAGAGGATTTCAAAACTGCTCTATCAAAAGAAAGGTTCAACACTGTTAGTTGAGGGCGCACATCACAAAAAAGTTTCTGAGAATGCTTCTGTCTAGTTTTCAGGAGAAGATATTTCCTTTTTCACCATAGGCCTGAAAGCGCTCCAAATGTCCACATCCAGATACTACAAAAAGAGTGTTTCAAACCTGCTCTATGAAAGGGAATGTTCAACTCTGTGACTTGAATGCAAACATCACAAAGAAGATTCTGGGAATGCTGCTGTCTGCTTTTTATATGTAATCCCGTTTCCAACGAAATCCTCAAAGCTAGACAAATATCCACTTGCAGATTCCACAAAAAGAGTGTTTCAAAACTGCTCTCTCAAAAGAAAGGTTCAACTCTGTTAGCTGAGTAGATACATCATGAAAAAGTTTCTGACATTGCTTCTATGTAGCTTTTATTGGAAGATATTTCCTTTTTCACCGTAGTCCTGAGAGCGCTCCAAATGTCCACTTCCAGATACAACAAAAAGAGTGTTTCAATCCTGCTCTATGAAAGGGACTGTTCAACACTGTGACTTCAATTGAAACATCCCAATGAAGCTTCTGAGAATGCTTCTGTCTAGAGTTTATATGAAGACAATCCCGTTTCCAATGAAATCCTCAAAGCTATCCAAATATCCTCTTGCAGATTTTACAAAAAGAGTGTTTCAAAACTGCTCTATCAAAAGAAAGCTTCAACACTGTTAGTTGAGGGAGCACATCACAAATAAGATTCTGAGAATGCTTCTGTCTAGTTTTCAGGAGAAGATATTTCCTTTTTCACCATAGGCCTGAAAGCGCTCCAAATGTCCACATCCAGATACTATAAAAAGAGTGTTTCAAACCTGCTCTATGAAAGGGAATGTTCAACTCTGTGACTTGAATGCAAACATCACAAAGAAGATTCTGGGAATGCTGCTGTCTGCTTTTTATATGTAATCCCGTTTCCAAAGAAATCCTCAAAGCTAGACAAATATCCACTTACAGATTCCACAAAAAGAGTGTTTCAAAACTGCTCTCTCAAAGGAAAGGTTCAACTCTGTTAGCTGAGTAGATACATCATGAAAAAGTTTCTGACATTTCTTCTATCTAGCTTTTATTGGAAGATATTTCCTTTTTCACTGTAGTCCTCAGAACGCTCCAAATGTCCACTTCCAGATACTACAAAAAGAGTGTTTCAAACCTGCTCTATGAAAGGGACTGTTCAACACTGTGACTTCAATTGAAACATCCCAATGAAGCTTCTGAGAATGCTTCTGTCTAGATTCTATATGAAGACAATCCCGTTTCCAACGAAATCCTCAAAGCTATCCAAATATCCTCTTGCAGATTTTACAAAAAGAGTGTTTCAAAACTGCTCTATCAAAAGAAAAGTTCCACACTGTTAGTTGAGGGCGCACATCACAAATAAGTTTGCTGAGAATGCTGCTGTCTGCTTTTTATATGTAATCCCGTTTCCAACGAAATCCTCAAAGCTAGACAAATATCCACTTGCAGATTCCACAAAAAGAGTGTTTCAAAACTGCTCTATCAAAAGAATGCTTCAACACTGTTAGTTGAGGGCGCACATCACAAATAAGTTTCTGAGAATGCTTCTGTCTAGTTTTCAGGGGAAGATATTTCCTTTTAAACCATAGGCCTGAAAGCGCTCCAAATGTCCACATCCAGATACTACAAAAAGAGTGTTTCAAACCTGCTCTATGAAAGGGAATGTTCAACACTGTGACTTCAATTGAAACATCCCAATGAAGCTTCTGAGAATGCTACTGTCTAGAGTTTATATGAAGACAATCCCGTTTCCAACGAAATCCTCAAAGCTATCCAAATATCCTCTTGCAGATTTTACAAAAAGAGTGTTTCAAAACTGCTCTATCAAAAGAAAGCTTCAACACTGTTAGTTGAGGGCGCACATCACAAATAAGTTTCTGAGAATGCTTCTGTCTAGTTTTCAGGGGAAGATATTTCCTTTTTCAGCATAGGCCTGAAAGCGCTCCAAATGTCCACATCCAGATACTACAAAAAGAGTGTTTCAAACCTGCTCTATGAAAGGGAATGTTCAACTCTGTGACTTGAATGCAAACATCACAAAGAAGTTTCTGGGAATGCTGCTGTCTGCTTTTCTTATGTAATCCCGTTTCCAACGAAGTCCTCAAAGCTAGACAAATATCCACTTGCAGATTCCACAAAAAGAGTGTTTGAAAACTGCTGCCTCAAAAGAAAGGTTCAACTCTGTTAGCTGAGTAGATACATCATGAAAAAGTTTCTGACATTGCTTCTATCTAGCTTTTATTGGAAGATATTACCTTTTTCACCGTAGTCCGTAGCTCCAAATGTCCACTTCCAGATACTACAAAAAGAGTGTTTCAAACCTGCTCTATGAAAGGGACTGTTCAACACTGTGACTTCAATTGAAACATCCCAATGAAGCTTCTGAGAATGCTACTGTCTAGGGTTAATATGAAGACAATCCCGTTTCCAACGAAATCCTCAAACCTATCCAAATATCCTCTTGCAGATTTTACAAAAAGAATGTTTCAAAACTGCTCTATCAAAAGAAAGCTTCAACACTGTTAGTTGAGGGCGCACATCACAAATAAGTTTCTGAGAATACTTCTGTCTAGTTTTCAGTGGAAGATATTTCCTTTTTCACCATGGGCCTGAAAGCGCTCCTAATGTCCAAATCCAGATACTACAAAAAGAGTGTTTCAAACCTGCTCTATGAAAGGGAATGTTCAACTCTGTGACTTGAATGCAAACATCACAAAGAAGTTTCTCGGAATGCTGCTGTCTGCTTTTTATATGTAATCCCGTTTCCAACGAAATCCTCAAAGCTAGACAAATATCCACTTGCAGATTCCACAAAAAGAGTGTTTCAAAACTGCTCTCTCAAAAGAAAGGTTCAACTCTGTTAGCTGAGTAGATACATCATGAAAATGTTTCTGACATTGCTTCTATCTAGCTTTTATTGGAAGATATTTCCTTTTTCACCGTAGTCCTGATAGCGCTCCAAATCTCCACTTCCAGATATTACAAAAAGAGTGTTTCAAACCTGCTCTACGAAAGGGACTGTTCAACACTGTGACTTCAATTGAAACATCCCAATGAAGCTTCTGAGAATGCTTCTGTCTAGATTGTATATGAAGACAATCCCGTTTCCAACGAAATCCTCAAAGCTATCCAAATATCCTCTTGCAGATTTTACAAAAAGAGTGTTTCAAAACTGCTCTATCAAAAGAAAGCTTCAACACTGTTAGTTGAGGGCGCACATCACAAATAAGTTTCTGAGAATGCTTCTGTCTAGTTTTCAGGGGAAGATATTTCCTTTTTCACCATAGGCCTGAAAGCGCTCCAAATGTCCACATCCAGATACTACAAAAAGAGTGTTTCAAACCTGCTCTATGAAAGGGAATGTTCAACTCTGTGACTTGAATGCAAACGTCACAAAGAAGTTTCTGGGAATGCTGCTGTCTGCTTTTTATATGTAATCCCGTTTCCAACGAAATCCTCAAAGCTAGACAAATATCCACTTGCAGATTCCACAAAAAGAGTGTTTCAAAACTGCTCTCTCAAAAGAAAGTTTCAACTCTGTTAGCTGAGTAGGTACATCATGAAAAAGTTTCTGACATTGCTTCTATCTAGCTTTTATTGGAAGATATTTCCTTTATCACCGTATTCCTGAGATCTCTCCAAATGTCCACTTCCAGATACTACAAAAAGAGTGTTTCAAACCTGCTCTATGAAAGGGAATGTTCAACTCTGTGACTTGAATGCAAATATCACAAAGAAGTTTCTGGGAATGCTGCTGTCTGCTTTTTATATGTAATCCCGTTTCCAACGAAATCCTCAAAGCTAGACAAATATCCACTTGCAGATTCCACAAAAAGAGTGTTTCAAAACTGCTCTCTCAAAAGAAAGGTTCAACTCTGTTAGCTGAGTAGATACACCATGAAAAAGTTTCTGACATTGCTTCTATCTAGCTTTTATTGGAAGATACTTCCTTTTTCACCGTAGTCCTGAGAGCGCTCCAAATGTCCACTTCCAGATACTACAAAAAGAGTGTTTCAAACCTGCTCTATGAAAGGGACTGTTCAACACTGTGACTTCAATTGAAACATCCCAATGAAGCTTCTGAGAATGCTTCTGTCTAGAGTTTATATGAAGACAATCCCGTTTCCAACGAAATCCTCAAAGCTATCCAAATATCCTCTTGCAGATTTTACAAAAAGAGTGTTTCAAAACGGCTCTATCAAAAGAAAGCTTCAACACTGTTAGTTGAGGGCGCACATCACAAATAAGATTCTGAGAATGCTTCTGTCTAGTTTTCAGGGGAAGATATTTCCTTTTTCACCATAGGCCTGAAAGCGCTCCAAATGTCCACATACAGATACTACAAAAAGAGTGTTTCAAACCTGCTCTATGAAAGGGAATGTTCAACTCTGTGACTTGAATGCAAACATCACAAAGAAGTTTCTGGGAATGCTGCTGTCTGCTTTTTATATGTAATCCCGTTTCCAACGAAATCCTCAAAGCTAGACAAATATCCACTTGCAGATTCCACAAAAAGAGTGTTTCAAAACTGCTCTCTCAAAAGAAAGGTTCAACTCTGTTAGCTGAGTAGATACATCATGAAAAAGTTTCTGACATTGCTTCTATGTAGCTTTTATTGGAAGATATTTCCTTTTTCACCGTAGTCCTGAGAGCGCTCCAAATGTCCACTTCCAGATACTACAAAAAGAGTGTTTCAAACCTGCTCTCTGAACGGAACTGTTCAACACTGTGACTTCAATTGAAACATCCCAATGAAGCTTCTGAGAATGCTTCTCTGTAGAGTTTATATGAAGCACAATCCCGTTTCCAACGAAATCCTCAAAGCTATCAAAATATCCTCTTGCAGATTTTACGAAAAGAGTGTTTCAAAACTGCTCTATCAAAAGAAAGCTTCAACACTGTTAGTTGAGGGCGCACATCACAAATAAGATTCTGAGAATGCTTCTGTCTAGTTTTCAGGAGAAGATATTTCCTTTTTCACCATAGGCCTGAAAGCGCTCCAAATGTCCACATCCAGATACTATAAAAAGAGTGTTTCAAACCTGCTCTCTGAAAGGGAATGTTCAACTCTGTGACTTGAATGCAAACATCACAAACAAGATTCTGGGAATGCTGCTGTCTGCTTTTTATAATTAATCCCGTTTCCAACGAAATCCTCAAAGCTATCCAAATATCCTCTTGCAGATATTACAAAAAGAGTGTTTCAAAACTGCTCTATCAAAAGAAAGCTTCAACACTGTTAGTTGAGGGCGCACATCACAAATAAGATTCTGAGAATGCTTCTGTCTAGTTTTCAGGGGAAGATATTTCCTTTTTCACCATAGGCCTGAAAGCGCTCCAAATGTCCACATCCAGATACTACAAAAAGAGTGTTTCAAACCTGCTCTATGAAAGGGAATGTTCAACTCTGTGACTTGAATGCAAACATCACAAAGAAGTTACTGGGAATGCTGCTGTCTGCTTTTTATATGTAATCCCGTTTCCAAGGAAATCCTCAAAGCTAGACAAATATCCACTTACAGATTCCACAAAAAGAGTGTTTCAAAACTGCTCTCTCAAAGGAAAGGTTCAACTCTGTTAGCTGAGTAGATACATCATGAAAAAGTTTCTGACATTTCTTCTATGTAGCTTTTATTGGAAGATATTTCCTTTTTCACCATAGTCCTGAGAGCGCTCCAAATGTCCACTTCCAGATACTACAAAAAGAGTGTTTCAAACCTGTTCTATGAAAGGAACTGTTCAACACTGTGACTTCAATTGAAACATCCCAATGAAGCTTCTGAGAATGCTTCTGTCTAGAGTTTATATGAAGACAATCCCGTTTCCAACGAAATCCTCAAAGCTATCCAAATATCCTCTTGCAGATATTACAAAAAGAGTGTTTCAAAACTGCTCTATCAAAAGAAAGCTTCAACACTGTTAGTTGAGGGCGCACATCACAAATAAGTTTCTGAGAATGCTTCTGTCTAGTTTTCAGGGGAAGATATTTCCTTTTTCACCATAGGCCTGAAAGCGCTCCAAATGTCCACATCCAGATACTACAAAAAGAGTGTTTCAAACCTGCTCTATGAAAGGGAATGTTCAACTCTGTGACTTCAATGCAAACTTCACAAAGAAGTTTCTGGGAATGCTGCTGTCTGCTTTTTATATGTAATCCCGTTTCCAACGAAATCCTCAAAGCTAGACAAATATCCACTTGCAGATTCCACAAAAAGAGTGTTTCAAAACTGCTCTCTCAAAAGAAAGGTTTAACTCTGTTAGCTGAGTAGATACGTCATGAAAAAGTTTCTGACATTGCTTCTATCTAGCTTTTATTGGAAGATATTTCCTTTATCACCGTATTCCTGAGATCTCTCCAAATGTCCACTTCCAGATACTACAAAAAGAGTGTTTCAAACCTGCTCTATGAAAGGGACTGTTCAACACTGTGACTTCAATTGAAACATCCCAATGAAGCTTCTGAGAATGCTTCTGTCTAGAGTTTATATGAAGACAATCCCGTTTCCAACGAAATCCTCAAATCTATCCAAATATCCTCTTGCAGATATTACAAAAAGAGTGTTTCAAAACTTCTCTATCAATAGAAAGGTTCAACAGTGTTAGTTGAGGGCGCACATCACAAATAAGTTTCTGAGAATGCTTCTGTCTAGTTTTCAGGGGAAGATATTTCCTTTTTCACCATAGACCTGAAAGCGCTCCAAATGTCCACATCCAGATACTACAAAAAGAGTGTTTCAAACCTGCTCTATGAAAGGGAATGTTCAACTGTGTGACTTGAATGCAAACATCACAAAGAAGTTTCTGGGAATGCTGCTGTCTGCTTTTTACATGTAATCCCGTTTCCAACGAAATCCTCAAAGCTAGACAAATATCCACTTGCAGATTCCACAAAAAGAGTGTTTCAAAACTGCTCTCTCAAAGGAAGGTTCAACTCTGTTAGCTGAGTAGATACATCATGAAAAAGTTTCTGACATTGCTTCTATCTAGCTTTTATTGGAAGATATTACCTTTATCACCGTATTGCTGAGATCTCTCCAAATGTCCACTTCCAGATACTACAAAAAGAGTGTTTCAAACCTGCTCTATGAAAGGGACTGTTCAACACTGTGACTTCAATTGAAACATCCCAATGAAGCTTCTGAGAATGCTTCTGTCTAGAGTTTATATGAAGACAATCCCGTTTCCAACGAAATCCTCAAAGCTATCCAAATATCCTCTTGCAGATTTTACGAAAAGAGTGTTTCAAAACTGCTCTATCAAAAGAAAGCTTCAACACTGTTAGTTGAGGGCGCACATCACAAATAAGATTCTGAGAATGCTTCTGTCTAGTTTTCAGGAGAAGATATTTCCTTTTTCATCATAGGCCTGAAAGCGCTCCAAATGTCCACATCCAGATACTATAAAAAGAGTGTTTCAAACCTGCTCTCTGAAAGGGAATGTTCAACTCTGTGACTTGAATGCAAACATCACAAACAAGATTCTGGGAATGCTGCTGTCTGCTTTTTATAATTAATCCCGTTTCCAACGAAATCCTCAAAGCTAGACAAATATCCACTTGGAGATTCCACAAAAAGAGTGTTTCAAAACTGCTCTATCAAAAGAATGCTTCAACACTGTTAGTTGAGGGCGCACATCACAAATAAGTTTCTGAGAATGCTTCTGTCTAGTTTTCAGGGGAAGATATTTCCTTTTAAACCATAGGCCTGAAAGCGCTCCAAATGTCCACATCCAGATACTACAAAAAGAGTGTTTGAAACCTGCTCTATGAAAGGGACTGTTCAACACTGTAACTTCAATTGAAACATCCCAATGAAGCTTACTGAGAATGCTTCTGTCTAGATTCTATATGAAGACAATCCCGTTTCCAACGAAATCCTCAAAGCTATCCAAATATCCTCTTGCAGATTTTACAAAAAGAGTGTTTCAAAACTGCTCTATCAAAAGAAAGGTTCAACACTGTTAGTTGAGGGCGCACATCACAAATAAGTTTACTGAGAATGCTTCTGTCTAGTTTTCAGGGGAAGATATTTCCTTTTTCACCATAGGCCTGAAAGCGCTCCAAATGTCCACATCCAGATACTACAAAAAGAGTGTTTCAAACCTGCTCTATGAAACGGAATGTTCAACTCTGTGACTTGAATGCAAACATCACAAAGAAGTTTACTGGGAATGCTGCTGTCTGCTTTTTATATGTAATCCCGTTTCCAACGAAATCCTCAAATCTAGACAAATATCCACTTGCAGATTCCACAAAAAGAGTGTTTCAAAACTGCTCTCTCAAAAGAAAGGTTCAACTCTGTTAGCTGAGTAGATACTTCACGAAAAAGTTTCTGACATTGCTTCTATGTAGCTTTTATTGGAAGATACTTCCTTTTTCACCGCAGTCCTGAGAGCACTCCAAATGTCCACTTCCAGATACTACAAAAAGAGTGTTTCAAACCTGCTCTATGAAAGGGACTGTTCAACACTGTGACTTCAATTGAAACATCCCAATGAAGCTTCTGAGAATGCTTCTGTCTAGAGTTTATATGAAGACAATCCCGTTTCCAACGAAATCCTCAAAGCTATCCAAATATCCTCTTGCAGATTTTACAAAAAGAGTGTTTCAAAACTGCTCTATCAAAAGAAAGCTTCAACACTGTTAGTTGAGGGCGCACATCACAAATAAGATTCTGAGAATGCTTCTGTCTAGTTTTCAGGGGAAGATATTTCCTTTTTCACCTTAGGCCTGAAAGCGCTGCAAATGTCCACTTCCAGATGCTACAAAAAGAGTGTTTCAAACCTGCTCTATGAAAGGGAATGTTCAACTCTGTGACTTGAATGCAAACATCACAATGAAGTTTCTGGGAATGCTGCTGTCTGCTTTTTATATGTAATCCCGTTTCCAACGAAATCCTCAAAGCTAGACAAATATCCACTTGCAGATTCCACAAAAAGAGTGTTTCAAAACTGCTCTCTCAAAAGAAAGGTTCAACTCAGCTGAGTAGATACATCATGAAAAAGTTTCTGACATTGCTTCTATCTAGCTTTTATTGGAAGATATTTCCTTTATCACCGTATTCCTGAGATCTCTCCAAATGTCCACTTCCAGATACTACAAAAAGAGTGTTTCAAACCTGCTCTATGAAAGGGACTGTTCAACACTGTGACTTCAATTGAAACATCCCAATGAAGCTTCTGAGAATGCTTCTGTCTAGAGTTTATAAGAAGACAATCCCGTTTCCAACGAAATCCTCAAAGCTATCAAAATATCCTCTTGCAGATTTTACGAAAAGAGTGTTTCAAAACTGCTCTATCAAAAGAAAGCTTCAACACTGTTAGTTGAGGGCGCACATCACAAATAAGATTCTGAGAATGCTTCTGTCTAGTTTTCAGGAGAAGATATTTCCTTTTTCACCATAGGCCTGAAAGCGCTCCAAATGTCCACATCCAGATACTATAAAAAGAGTGTTTCAAACCTGCTCTCTGAAAGGGAATGTTCAACTCTGTGACTTGAATGCAAACATCACAAACAAGATTCTGGGAATGCTGCTGTCTGCTTTTTATATGTAATCCCGTTTCCAACGAAATCCTCAAAGCTAGACAAACATCCACTTGCAGATTCCACAAAAAGAGTGTTTCAAAACTGCTCTATCAAAAGAAAGCTTCAACACTGTTAGTTGAGGGCGCACATCACAAATAAGTTTCTGAGAATGCTTCTGTCTAGTTTTCAGGGGAAGATATTTCCTTTTTCACCATAGGCCTGAAAGCGCTCCAAATGTCCACATCCAGATACTACAAAAAGAGTGTTTCAAACCTGCTCTATGAAAGGGACTGTTCAACACTGTGACTTCAATTGAAACATCCCAATGAAGCTTCTGAGAATGCTTCTGTCTAGAGTTTATATGAAGACAATCCCGTTTCCAAAGAAATCCTCAAAGCTATCCAAATCTCCTCTTGCAGATTTTACAAAAAGAGTGTTTCAAAACTGCTCTATCAAAAGAAAGCTTCAACACTGTTAGTTGAGGGCGCACATAACAAATAACATTCTGAGAATGCTTCTGTCTAGTTTTCAGGAGAATATATTTCCTTTTTCACCTTAGGCCTGAAAGCGCTCCAAATGTCCACATCCAGATACTATAAAAAGAGTGTTTCAAACCTGCTCTATGAAAGGGAATTTTCAACTCTGTGACTTGAATGCAAACATCACAAAGAAGATTCTGGGAATGCTGCTGTCTGCTTTTTATATGTAATCCCGTTTCCAACGAAATCCTCAAAGCTAGACAAATATCCACGTGCAGATTCCACAAAAAGAGTGTTTCAAAACTGCTCTATCAAGAGAAAGCTTCAACACTGTTAGTTGAGGGCGCACATCACAAATAAGTTTCTGAGAATGCTTCTGTCTAGTTTTCAGGGGAAGATATTTCCTTTTTCACCATAGGCCTGAAAGCGCTCGAAATGTCCACATCCAGATACTACAAAAAGAGTGTTTCAAACCTGCTCTATGAAAGGGACTGTTCAACACTGTGACTTCAATTGAAACATCCCAATGAAGCTTCTGAGAATGCTTCTGTCTAGAGTTTATATGAAGACAATCCCGTTTCCAACGAAATCCTCAAAGCTATCCAAATATCCTCTTGCAGATTTTACAAAAAGAGTGTTTCAAAACTGCTCTATCAAAAGAAAGCTTCAACTCTGTTAGTTGAGGGCGCACATCACAAATAAGATTCTGAGAATGCTTCTGTCTAGTTTTCAGGGGAAGATATTTCCTTTTTCACCATAGGCCTGAAAGCGCTCCAAATGTCCACATCCAGATACTACAAAAAGAGTGTTTCAAACCTGCTCTATGAAAGGGAATGTTAAACTCTGTGACTTGAATGCAAACATCGCAAAGATGTTTCTGGGAATGCTGCTGTCTGCTTTTTATTTGTAATCCCGTTTCCAACGAAATCCTCAATGCTAGACAAATATCGACTTGCAGATTCCAGAAAAAGAGTGTTTCAAAATTGCTCTTTCAAAACGATGGTTCAATTCTGTTAGTTGAGTACACACATCACAAATAAGTTTCAGAGAATGCTTCTGTCTAGTTTTCAGGGGAAGATATTTCCTTTTAAACCATAGGCCTGAAAGCGCTCCAAATGTCCACATCCAGATACTACAAAAAGAGTGTTTCAAACCTGCTCTATGAAAGGGACTGTTCAACACTGTGACTTCAATTGAAACATCCCAATGAAGCTTCTGAGAATGCTTCTGTCTAGAGTTTATATGAAGACAATCCCGTTTCCAACGAAATCCTCAAAGCTATCTAAATATCCTCTTGCAGATTTTACAAAAAGAGTGTTTCAAAACTGCTCTATCAAAAGAAAGCTTCAACACTGTTAGTTGAGGGCGCACATCACAAATAAGATTCTGAGAATTCTTCTGTCTAGTTTTCAGGGGAACATATTTCTTTTTTCACCATAGGCCTGAAAGCGCTCCAAATGTCCACATCCAGATACTTCAAAAAGAGTGTTTCAAACCTGCGCTATGAAAGGGAATGTTCAAGACTGTGACTTGAATGCAAATATCACAAAGAAGTTTCTGGGAATGCTGCTGTCTGCTTTTTATATGTAATCCCGTTTCCAACGAAATCCTCAAAGCTAGACAAATATCCACTTGCATATTCCACAAAAAGAGTGTTTCAAAACTGCTCTCTCAAAAGAAAGGTTCAACTCTGTTAGCTGAGTAGATACATCATGAAAAAGTTTCTGAGATTGCTTCTATCTAGCTTTTATTGGAAGATATTTCCTTTTTCACCGTAGTCCTGAGAACGCTCCAAATGTCCACTTCCAGATGCTACAAAAAGAGTGTTTCAAACCTGCTCTATGAAAGGGACTGTTCAACACTGTGACTTCAATTGAAACATCCCAATGAAGCTTCTGAGAATGCTACTGTCTAGGGTTAATATGAAGACAATCCCGTTTCCAACGAAATCCTCAAAGCTATCCAAATATCCTCTTGCAGATTTTACAAAAAGAGTGTTTCAAAACTGCTCTATCGAAAGAAAGCTTCAACACTGTTAGTTGAGGGCGCACATCACAAATAAGATTCTGAGAATGCTGCTGTCTGCTTTTTATATGTAATCCCGTTTCCAACGAAATCCTCAAAGCTAGACAAATATCCACCTGCAGATTCCACAAAAAGAGTGTTTCAAAACTGCTCTATCAAAAGAAAGCTTCAACACTGTTAGTTGAGGGCGCACATCACAAATAAGTTTCTGAGAATGCTTCTGTCTAGTTTTCAGGGGAAGATATTTCCTTTATCACCGTAGTCCTGAGAGCGCTCCAAATGTCCACTTACAGATACTACAAAAAGAGTGTTTCAAACCTGCTCTATGAAAGGGACTGTTCAACACTGTGACTTCAATTGAAACATCCCAATGAAGCTTCTGAGAATGCTTTTGTCTAGATTTTATATGAAGACAATCCCGTTTCCAAAGAAATCCTCAAAGCTATCAAAATATCCTCTTGCAGATTTTACAAAGAGTGTTTCAAAACTACTCTATCAAAAGAAAGGTTTAACACTGTTAGTTGAGGGCGCACATCACAAATAAGTTTCTGAGAATGCTTCTGTCTAGTTTTCATGGGAAGATATTTCCTTTTTCACCATAGGCCAGAAAGCGCTCCAAATGTCCACATCCAGATACTACAAAAAGAGTGTTTCAAACCTGCTCTATGAAAGGGAATGTTCAACTCTGTGACTTGAATGCAAACATCACAAAGAAGTTTCTGGGAATGCTGCTGTCTGCTTTTTATATGTAATCCCGTTTCCAACGAAATCCTCAAAGCTAGACAAATATCCACTTGCAGATTCCACAAAAAGAGTGTTTCAAAACTGCTCTCTCAAAGGAAGGTTCAACTCTGTTAGCTGAGTAGATACATCATGAAAAAGTTTCTGACATTGCTTCTATGTAGCTTTTGTTGGAAGATATTTCCTTTTTCACCGCAGTCCTGAGAGCGCTCCAAATGTCCACTTCCAGATACTACAAAAAGAGTGTTTCAAACCTGCTCTATGAAAGGGACTGTTCAACACTGTGACTTCAATTGAAACATCCCAATGAAGCTTCTGAGAATGCTTCTGTCTAGAGTTTATATGAAGACAATCCCGTTTCCAACGAAATCCTCAAACCTATCCAAATATCCTCTTGCAGATTTTACAAAAAGAGTGTTTCAAAACTGCTCTATCAAAAGAAAGCTTCAACACTGTTAGTTGAGGGCGCACATCACAAATAAGATTCTGAGAATGCTTCTGTCTAGTTTTCAGGGGAAGATATTTCCTTTTTCACCATAGGCCTGAAAGCGCTCCAAATGTCCACATCCAGATACTACAAAAAGAGTGTTTCAAACCTGCTCTCTGAAAGGGAATGTTCAACTCTGTGACTTGAATGCAAACATCACAAAGAAGTTTCTGGGAATGCTGCGGTCTGCTTTTTATATGTAATCCCGTTTCCAACGAAATCCTCAAAGCTAGACAAATATCCACTTGCAGATTCCACAAAAAGAGTGTTTCAAAACTGCTCTCTCAAAGGAAAGGTTCAACTCTGTTAGCTGAGTAGATACATCATGAAAAAGTTTCTGACATTGCTTCTATCTAGCTTTTATTGGAAGATACTTCCTTTTTCACCGTAGTCCTGAGAGCGCTCCAAATGTCCACTTCCAGATACTACAAAAAGAGTGTTTCAAACCTGCTCTATGAAAGGGACTGTTCAACACTGTGACTTCAATTGAAACATCCCAATGCAGCTTCTGAGAATGCTTCTGTCTAGAGTTTATATGAAGACAATCCCGTTTCCAACGAAATCCTCAAAGCTATCCAAATATCCTCTTGCAGATTTTACAAAAAGAGTGTTTCAAAACTGCTCTATCAAAAGAAAGCTTCAACACTGTTAGTTGAGGGCGCACATCACAAATAAGATTCTGAGAATGCTTCTGTCTAGTTTTCAGGGGAAGATATTTCCTTTTTCACCATAGGCCTGAAAGCGCTCCAAATGTCCACATACAGATACTACAAAAAGAGTGTTTCAAACCTGCTCTATGAAAGGGAATGTTCAACTCTGTGACTTGAATGCAAACTTCACAAAGAATTTTCTGGGAATGCTGCTGTCTGCTTTTTATATGTAATCCCGATTCCAACGAAATCCTCAAAGATAGACAAATATCCACTTGCAGATTCAACAAAAAGAGTGTTTCAAAACTGCTCTCTCAAAAGAAAGGTTCAACTCTGTTAGCTGAGTAGATACATCATGAAAAAGTTTCTGACATTGCTTCTATCTAGCTTTTATTGGAAGATATTTCCTTTATCACCGTATTCCTGAGATCTCTCCAAATGTCCACTTCCAGATACTACAAAAAGAGTGTTTCAAACCTGCTCTATGAAAGGGACTGTTCAACACTGTGACTTCAATTGAAACATCCCAATGAAGCTTCTGAGAATGCTGCTGTCTAGAGTTTATATGAAGACAATCCCGTTTCCAACGAAATCCTCAAAGCTATCAAAATATCCTCTTGCAGATTTTACGAAAAGAGTGTTTCAAAACTGCTCTATCAAAAGAAAGCTTCAACACTGTTAGTTGAGGACGCACATCACAAATAAGATTCTGAGAATGCTGCTGTCTGCTTTTTATATGTAATCCCGTTTCCAACGAAATCCTCAAAGCTAGACAAATATCCACTTGCAGATTCCACAAAAAGAGTGTTTCAAAACTGCTCTATCAAAAGAATGCTTCAACACTGTTAGTTGAGGGCGCACATCACAAATAAGTTTCTGAGAATGCTTCTGTCTAGTTTTCAGGGGAAGATATTTCCTTTTTCACCATAGGCCTGAAAGCGCTCCAAATGTCCACATCCAGATACTACAAAAAGAGTGTTTCAAACCTGCTCTATGAAAGGGACTGTTCAACACTGTGACTTCAATTGAAACATCCCAATGAAGCTTCTGAGAATGCTTCTGTCTAGAGTTTATATGAAGACAATCCCGTTTCCAACGAAATCCTCAAAGCTATCGAAATATCCTCTAGCAGATTTTACAAAAAGAGTGTTTCAAAACTGCTCTATCAAAAGAAAGCTTCAACACTGTTAGTTGAGGGCGCACATCACAAATAAAATTCTGAGAATGCTTCTGTCTAGTTTTCAGGGGAAGATATTTCCTTTTTCACCATAGGCCTCAAAGCGCTCCAAATGTCCACATCCAGATACTACAAAAAGAGTGTTTCAAACCTGCTCTATGAAAGGGAATGTTCAACTCTGTGACTTGAATGCAAACATCACAAAGAAGTTACTGGGAATGCTGCTGTCTGCTTTTTATATGTAATCCCGTTTCCAACGAAATCCTCAAAGCTAGACAAATATCCACTTGCATATTCCACAAAAAGAGTGCTTCAAAGCTGCTCTCTCAAAAGAAAGGTTCAACTCTGTTAGCTGAGCAGATACATCATAAAAAAGTTTCTGACATTGCTTCTATCTAGCTTTTATTGGAAGATATTTCCTTTTTCACCATAGTCCTGAGAGCGCTACAAATGTCCACTTCCAGATACTACAAAAAGAGTGTTTCAAACCTGCTCTATGAAAGGGAATATTCAACACTGTGACTTTAATTGAAACATCCCAATGAAGCTTCTGAGAATGCTTCTGTCTAGAGTTTATATGAAGACAATCCCGTTTCCAACGAAATCCTCAAAGCTATCCAAATATCCTCTTGCAGATATTACAAAAAGAGTGTTTCAAAACTGCTCTATCAAAAGAAAGGTTCAACACTGTTAGTTGAGGGCGCACATCACAAATAAGTTTACTGAGAATGCTGCTGTCTGCTTTTTATATGTAATCCCGTTTCCAACGAAATCCTCAAAGCTAGACAAATATCCACTTGCAGATTCCACAAAAAGAGTGTTTCAAAACTGCTCTATCAAAAGAATGCTTCAACACTGTTAGTTGAAGGCGCACATCACAAATAAGTTTCTGAGAATGCTTCTGTCTAGTTTTCAGGGGAAGATATTTCCTTTTAAACCATAGGCCTGAAAGCGCTCCAAATGTCCACATCCAGATACTACAAAAAGAGTGTTTCAAACCTGCTCTATGAAAGGGACTGTTCAACACTGTGACTTCAATTGAAACATCCCAATGACGCTTCTGAGAATGCTTCTGTCTAGAGTTTATATGAAGACAATCCCGTTTCCAACGAAATCCTCAAAGCTATCCAAATATCCTCTTGCAGATTTTACAAAAAGAGTGTTTCAAAACTGCTCTATCAAAAGAAAGCTTCAACACTGTTAGTTGAGGGCGCACATCACAAATAAGATTCTGAGAATTCTTCTGTCTAGTTTTCAGGGGAAGATATTTCCTTTTTCACCATAGGCCTGAAAGCGCTCCAAATGTCCACATAGAGATACTACAAAAAGAGTGTTTCAAACCTGCTCTATGAAAGGGAATGTTCAACTCTGTGACTTGAATGCAAACATCACAAAGAAGTTTCTGGGAATGCTGCTGTCTGCTTTTTATATGTAATCCCGTTTCCAACGAAATCCTCAAAGCTAGACAAATATCCACTTGCAGATTCCACAAAAAGAGTGTTTCAAAACTGCTCTCTCAAAGGAAGGTTCAACTCTGTTAGCTCAGTAGATACATCATGAAAAAGTTTCTGACATTGCTTCTATCTAGCTTTTATTGGAAGATAGTTCCTTTTTCACCGTAGTCCTGAGAGCGCTCCAAATGTCCACTTCCAGATACTACAAAAAGAGTGTTTCAAACCTGCTCTATGAAAGGGACTGTTCAACACTGTGACTTCAATTGAAACATCCCAATGAAGCTTCTGAGAATGCTTCTGTCTAGAGTTTATATGAAGACAATCCCGTTTCCAACGAAATCCTCAAAGCTATCCAAATATCCTCTTGCAGATTTAACAAAAAGAGTGTTTCAAAACTGCTCTATCAAAAGAAAGCTTCAACAATGTTAGTTGAGGGCGCACATCACAAATAAGA
The DNA here is from genome assembly GCF_000001405.40 of Homo sapiens. Classification (NCBI taxonomy): domain Eukaryota; kingdom Metazoa; phylum Chordata; class Mammalia; order Primates; family Hominidae; genus Homo; species Homo sapiens. Next base: position 92,624,897 of record NC_000002.12, on the reverse strand, counting down.
TTCTGAGAATTCTTCTGTCTAGTTTTCAGGGGAAGATATTTCCTTTTTCACCATAGGCCTGAAAGCGCTCCAAATGTCCACATCCAGATACTACAAAAAGAGTGTTTCAAACCTGCTCTATGAAAGGGAATGTTCAACTCTGTGACTTGAATGCAAACATCACAAAGAAGTTACTGGGAATGCTGCTGTCTGCTTTTTATATGTAATCCCGTTTCCAACGAAATCCTCAAAGCTAGACAAATATCCACTTGCAGATTCCACAAAAAGAGTGTTTCAAAACTGCTCTCTCAAAGGAAAGGTTCAACTCTGTTAGCTGAGTAGATACATCATGAAAAAGTTTCTGACATTGCTTCTATGTAGCTTTTATTGGAAGATATTTCCTTTTTCACCGTAGTCCTGAGAGCGCTCCAAATGTCCACTTCCAGATACTACAAAAAGAGTGTTTCAAACCTGTTCTATGAAAGGAACTGTTCAACAGTGTGACTTCAATTGAAACATCCCAATGAAGCTTCTGAGAATGCTTCTGTCTAGAGTTTATATGAAGACAATCCCGTTTCCAACGAAATCCTCAAAGCTATCCAAATATCCTCTTGCAGATATTACAAAAAGAGTGTTTCAAAACTGCTCTATCAAAAGAAAGGTTCAACACTGTTAGTTGAGGGCGCACATCACAAATAGGTTTCTGAGAATGCTTCTGTCTAGTTTTCAGGGGAAGATATTTCCTTTTTCACCATAGGCCTGAAAGCGCTCCAAATGTCCACATACAGATACTACAAAAAGTGTGTTTCAAACCTGCTCTATGAAAGGGAATGTTCAAATCTGTGACTTGAATGCAAACATCACAAAGAAGTTTCTGGGAATGCTGCTGTCTGCTTTTTATATGTAATCCCGTTTCCAACGAAATCCTCAAAGCTAGACAAATATCCACTTGCAGATTCCACAAAAAGAGTGTTTCAAAACTGCTCTCTCAAAAGAAAGGTTCAACTCTGTTAGCTGAGTAGATACATCATGAAAAAGTTTCTGACATTGCTTCTATGTAGCTTTTATTGGAAGATATTTCGTTTTTCACCGTAGTCCTGAGAGCGCTCCAAATGTCCACTTCCAGATACTACAAAAAGAGTGTTTCAAACCTGCTCTATGAAAGGGACTGTTCAACACTGTGACTTCAATTGAAACTTCCCAATGAAGCTTCTGAGAATGCTTCTGTCTAGAGTTTATATGAAGACAATCCCGTTTCCAACGAAATCCTCAAAGCTATCCAAATATCCTCTTGCAGATATTACAAAAAGAGTGTTTCAAAACTGCTCTATCAAAAGAAAGGTTCAACAGTGTTAGTTGAGGGCGCACATCACAAATAAGTTTCTGAGAATGCTTCTGTCTAGTTTTCAGGGGAAGATATTTCCTTTTTCACCATAGGCCTGAAAGCGCTCCAAATGTCCACATCCAGATACTACATAAAGAGTGTTTCAAACGTGCTCTATGAAAGGCAATGTTCTACTCAGTGACTTGAATGCAAACATCACAAAGAAGTTTCTGGGAATGCTGCTGTCTGCTTTTTTTATGTAATCCCATTTCCAACGAAATCCTCAAAGCTAGACAAATATCCACTTGCAGATTCCACAAAAAGAGTGTTTCAAAACTGCTCTCTCAAAGGAAGGTTCAAATCTGTTAGCTGAGTAGATACATCATGAAAAAGTTTCTGACATTGCTTCTATCTAGCTTTTATTGGAAGATATTTCCTTTTTCACCACAGTCCTGAGAGCGCTCCAAATGTCCACTTCCAGATACTACAAAAAGAGTGTTTCAAACCTGCTCTATGAAAGGGACTGTTCAACACTGTGACTTCAACTGAAACATCCCAATGAAGCTTCTGAGAATGCTTCTGTCTAGAGTTTATATGAAGACAATCCCGTTTCCAACGAAATCCTCAAAGCTATCCAAATATCCTCTTGCAGATTTTACAAAAAGAGTGTTTCAAAACTGCTCTATCAAAAGAAAGCTTCAACACTGTTAGTTGAGGGCGCACATCACAAATAAGATTCTGAGAATGCTTCTGTCTAGTTTTCAGGAGAAGATATTTCCTTTTTCACCATAGGCCTGAAAGCGCTCCAAATGTCCACATCCAGTTACTATAAAAAGAGTGTTTCAAACCTGCTCTCTGAAAGGGAATGTTCAACTCTGTGACTTGAATGCAAACATCACAAACAAGATTCTGGGAATGCTGCTGTCTGCTTTTTATATGTAATCCCGTTTCCAACGAAATCCTCAAAGCTATCCAAATATCCTCTTGCAGATATTACAAAAAGAGTGTTTCAAAACTGCTCTATCAAAAGAAAGGTTCAACACTGTTAGTTGAGGGCGCACATCACAAATAAGTTTCTGAGAATGCTTCTGTCTAGTTTTCAGGGGAAGATATTTCCTTTTAAACCATAGGCCTGAAAGCGCTCCAAATGTCCACATCCAGATACTACAAAAAGAGTGTTTCAAACCTGCTCTATGAAAGGGACTGTTCAACACTGTGACTTCAATTGAAACATTCCAATGAAGCTTCTGAGAATGCTTCTGTCTAGAGTTTATATGAAGACAATCCCGTTTCCAACGAAATCCTCAAAGCTATCCTAATATCCTCTTGCAGATTTTACAAAAAGAGTGTTTCAAAACTGCTCTATCAAAAGAAAGCTTCAACACTGTTAGTTGAGGGCGCACATCACATATAAGATTGCTGAGAATGCTTCTGTCTAGTTTTCAGGGGAAGATATTTCCTTTTTCACCATAGGCCTGAAAGCGCTCCAAATGTCCACATCCAGATACTACAAAAAGAGTGTTTCAAACCTGCTCTATGAAAGGGAATGTTCAACTCTGTGACTTGAATGCAAACATCACAAAGAAGATTCTGGGAATGCTGCTGTCTGCTTTGTATATGTAATCCCGTTTCCAACGAAATCCTCAAAGCTAGACAAATATCCACTTGCAGATTCCACAAAAAGAGTGTTTCAAAACTGCTCTCTCAAAGGAAAGGTTCAACTCTGTTAGCTGAGTAGATACATCATGAAAAAGTTTCTGACATTGCTTCTATGTAGCTTTTATTGGAAGATATTTCCATTTTCACCGTAGTCCTGAGAGCGCTCCAAATGTCCACTTCCAGATACTACAAAAAGAGTGTTTCAAACCTGTTCTATGAAAGGAACTGTTCAACACTGTGACTTCAATTGAAACATCCCAATGAAGCTTCTGAGAATGCTTCTGTCTAGAGTTTATATGAAGACAATCCCGTTTCCAACGAAATCCTCAAAGCTATCCAAATATCCTCCTGCAGATTTTACAAAAAGAGTGTTTCAAAACTGCTCTATCAAAAGAAAGGTTCAACACTGTTAGTTGAGGGCGCACATTACAAATAAGTTTCTGAGAATGCTTCTGTCTAGTTTTCAGGGGAAGATATTTCCTTTTTCACCATAGGCCTGAAAGCGCTCCAAATGTCCACATACAGATACTACAAAAAGAGTGTTTCAAACCTGCTCTATGAAAGGGAATGTTCAACTCTGTGACTTGAATGCAAACATCACAAAAAGTTTCTGGGAATGCTGCTGTCTGCTTTTTATATGTAATCCCGTTTCCAACGAAATCCTCAAAGCTAGACAAATATCCACTTGCAGATTCCACAAAAAGAGTGTTTCAAAACTGCTCTCTCAAAAGAAAGGTTCAACTCTCTTAGCTGAGTAGATACATCATGAAAAAGTTTCTGACATTGCTTCTATCTAGCTTTTATTGGAAGATATTTCCTTTTTCACCGTAGTCCTGAGAGCGCTCCAAATGTCCACTTCCAGATGCTACAAAAAGAGTGTTTCAAACCTGCTCTATGAAAGGGACTGTTCAACACTGTGACTTCAATTGAAACATCCCAATGAAGCTTCTGAGAATGCTACTGTCTAGAGTTTATATGAAGACAATCCCGTTTCCAACGAAATCCTCAAAGCTATCCAAATATCCTCTTGCAGATTTTACAAAAAGAGTGTTTCAAAACTACTCTATCAAAAGAAAGCTTCAACACTGTTAGTTGAGGGCGCACATCACAAATAAGTTTCTGAGAATGCTTCTGTCTAGTTTTCAGGGGAAGATATTTCCTTTTTCACCATAGGCCTGAAAGCGCTCCAAATGTCCACATCCAGATACTACAAAAAGAGTGTTTCAAACCTGCTCTATGAAAGGGAATGTTCATCTCTGTGACTTGAATGCAAACATCACAAAGAAGTTACTGGGAATGCTGCTGTCTGCTTTTGTATATGTAATCCCGTTTCCAACGAAATCCTCAAAGCTAGACAAATATCCACTTGCAGGTTCCACAAAAATAGTGTTTCAAAACTGCTCTCACAAAAGAAAGGTTCAACTCTTTTAGCTGAGTAGATACATCATGAAAAAGTTTCTGACATTGCTTCTATCTAGCTTTTATCGGAAGATATTTCCTTTTTCACCGTAGTCCTGAGAGCGCTCCAAATGTCCACTTCCAGATGCTACAAAAAGAGTGTTTCAAACCTGCTCTATGAAAGGGACTGTTCAACACTGTGACTTCAATTGAAACATCCCAATGAACCTTCTGAGAATGCTACTGTCTAGGGTTAATATGAAGACAATCCCGTTTCCAACGAAATCCTCAAAGCTATCCAAATATCCTCTTGCAGATTTTACAAAAAGAGTGTTTCAAAACTACTCTATCAACAGAAAGGTTCAACATTGTTAGTTCAGGGCGCACATCACAAATAAGTTTCTGAGAATGCTTCTGTCTAGTTTGCAGGGGAAGATATTTCCTTTTTCACCATAGGCCTGAGAGCGCTCCAAATGTCCACATCCAGATACTACAAAAAGAGTGTTTCAAACCTGCTCTATGAAAGGGAATGTTCAACTCTGTGACTTGAATGCAAACATCACAAAGAAGTTTCTGGGAATGCTGCTGTCTGCTTTTTATATGTAATCCCGTTTCCAACGAAATCCTCAAACCTAGACAAATATCCACCTGCAGATCGAACAAAAAGAGTGTTTCAAAACTGCTCTCTCAAAAAAAAGGTTCAACTCTGTTAGCTGAGTAGATACATCATGAAAAAGTTTCTGACATTGCTTCTATCTAGCTTTTATTGGAAGATATTTCCTTTTTCACCGTAGTCCTGAGAGCGCTCCAAATGTCCACTTCCAGATACTACAAAAAGAGTGTTTCAAACCTGCTCTATGAAACGGACTGTTCAGCACCGTGACTTCAATTGAAACATCCCAATGAAGCTTCTGAGAATGCTTCTGTCTAGAGTTTATATGAAGACAATCCCGTTTCCAACGAAATCCTCAAAGCTATCCAAATATCCTCTTGCAGATTTTACAAAAAGAGTGTTTCAAAACTGCTCTATCAAAAGAAAGCTTCAACACTGTTAGTTGAGGGCGCACATCACAAATAAGATTCTGAGAATGCTTCTGTCTAGTTTTCAGGGGAAGATATTTCCTTTTTCACCATAGGCCTGAAAGCGCTCCAAATGTCCACATCCAGATACTACAAAAAGAGTGTTTGAAACCTGCTCTATGAAAGGGAATGTTCAACTCTGTGACTTGAATGCAAACATCACAAAGAAGATTCTGGGAATGCTGCTGTCTGCTTTTTATATGTAATCCCGTTTCCAACGAAATCCTCAAAGCTAGACAAATATCCACTTGCAGATTCCACAAAAAGAGTGTTTCAAAACTGCTCTCTCAAAGGAAAGGTTCAACTCTGTTAGCTGAGTAGATACATCATGAAAAAGTTTCTGACATTGCTTCTATGTAGCTTTTATTGGAAGATATTTCCATTTTCACCGTAGTCCTGAGAGCGCTCCAAATGTCCACTTCCAGATACTACAAAAAGAGTGTTTCAAACCTGTTCTATGAAAGGAACTGTTCAACACTGTGACTTCAATTGAAACATCCCAATGAAGCTTCTGAGAATGCTTCTGCCTAGAGTTTATATGAAGACAATCCCGTTTCCAACGAAATCCTCAAAGCTATCCAAATATCCTCTTGCAGATATTACAAAAAGAGTGTTTCAAAACTGCTCTATCAAAAGAAAGCTTCAACACTGTTAGTTGAGGGCGCACATCACAAATAAGTTTCTGAGAATGCTTCTGTCTAGTTTTCAGGGGAAGATATTTCCTTTTTCACCTTAGGCCTGAAAGCGCTGCAAATGTCCACATCCAGATACTACAAAAAGAGTGTTTCAAACCTGCTCTATGAAAGGGAATGTTCAACTCTGTGACTTGAATGCAAACATCACAAAGAAGTTTCTGGGAATGCTGCTGTCTGCTTTTTATATGTAATCCCGTTTCCAACGAAATCCTCAAAGCTAGACAAATATCCACTTGCAGATTCCACAAAAAGAGTGTTTCAAAACTGCTCTATCAAAAGAATGCTTCAACACTGTTAGTTGAGGGCGCACATCACAAATAAGTTTCTGAGAATGCTTCTGTCTAGTTTTCAAGGGAAGATATTTCCTTTTAAACCATAGGCCTGAAAGCGCTCCAAATGTCCACATCCAGATACTACAAAAAGAGTGTTTCAAACCTGCTCTATGAAAGGGACTGTTCAACACTGTGACTTCAATTGAAACATCCCAATGACGCTTCTGAGAATGCTTCTGTCTAGAGTTTATATGAAGACAATCCCGTTTCCAACGAAATCCTCAAAGCTATCCAAATATCCTCTTGCAGATTTTACAAAAAGAGTGTTTCAAAACTGCTCTATCAAAAGAAATCTTCAACACTGTTAGTTGAGGGCGCACATCACAAATAAGATTCTGAGAATGCTTCTGTCTAGTTTTCAGGGGAAGATATTTCCTTTTTCACCATAGGCCTGAAAGCGCTCCAAATGTCCACATCCAGATACTACAAAAAGAGTGTTTCAAACCTGCTCTATGAAAGGGAATGTTCAACTCTGTGACTTGAATGCAAACATCACAAAGAAGTTACTGGGAATGCTGCTGTCTGCTTTTTATATGTAATCCCGATTCCAACGAAATCCTCAAAGCTAGACAAATATCCACTTGCAGATTCCACAAAAAGAGTGTTTCAAAACTGCTCTCTCAAAAGAAAGGTTCAACTCTGTTAGCTGAGTAGATACATCATGAAAAAGTTTCTGACATTGCTTCTATCTAGCTTTTATTGGAAGATATTTCCTTTATCACCGTATTCCTGAGATCTCTCCAAATGTCCACTTCCAGATACTACAAAAAGAGTGTTTCAAACCTGCTCTATGAAAGGGACTGTTCAACACTGTGACTTCAATTGAAACATCCCAATGAAGCTTCTGAGAATGCTTCTGTCTAGAGTTTATATGAAGACAATCCCGTTTCCAACGAAATCCTCAAAGCTATAAAAATATCCTCTTGCAGATTTTACGAAAAGAGTGTTTCAAAACTGCTCTATCAAAAGAAAGCTTCAACACTGTTAGTTGAGGGCGCACATCACAAATAAGATTCTGAGAATGCTTCTGTCTAGTTTTCAGGAGAAGATATTTCCTTTTTCACCATAGGCCTGAAAGCGCTCCAAATGTCCACATCCAGATACTATAAAAAGAGTGTTTCAAACCTGCTCTCTGAAAGGGAATGTTCAACTCTGTGACTTGAATGCAAACATCACAAACAAGATTCTGGGAATGCTGCTGTCTGCTTTTTATATGTAATCCGGTTTCCAACGAAATCCTCAAAGCTAGACAAACATCCACTTGCAGATTCCACAAAAAGAGTGTTTCAAAACTGCTCTATCAAAAGAAAGGTTCAACATTGTTAGTTGAGGGCGCACATCACAAATAAGTTTCTGAGAATGCTTCTGTCTAGTTTTCAGGGGAAGATATTTCCTTTTAAACCATAGGCCTGAAAGCGCTCCAAATGTCCACATCCAGATACTACAAAAAGAGTGTTTCAAACCTGCTCTATGAAAGGGACTGTTCAACACTGTGACTTCAATTGAAACATCCCAATGACGCTTCTGAGAATGCTTCTATCTAGAGTTTATATGAAGACAATCCCGTTTCCAACGAAATCCTCAAAGCTATCCAAATATCCTCTTGCAGATTTTACAAAAAGAGTGTTTCAAAACTGCTCTATCAAAAGAAAGCTTCAACACTGTTAGTTGAGGGCGCACATCACAAATAAGATTCTGAGAATGCTTCTGTCTAGTTTTCAGGGGAAGATATTTCCTTTTTCACCATAGGCCTGAAAGCGCTCCAAATGTCCACATCCAGATACTTCAAAAAGAGTCTTTCAAACCTGCTCTATGAAAGGGAATGTTCAACTCTCTGACTTGAATGCAAACATCACAAAGAAGTTACTGGGAATGCTGCTGTCTGCTTTTTATATGTAATCCCGTTTCCAACGAAATCCTCAAAGCTAGACAAATATCCACTTTCAGATTACACAAAAAGAGTGTTTCAAAACTGCTCTCTCAAAAGAAAGGTTCAACTCTGTTAGCTGAGTAGATACATCATGAAAAAGTTTCTGACATTGCTTCTATGTAGCTTTTATTGGAAGATATTTCCTTTTTCACCATAGGCCTGAAAGCGCTCCAAATGTCCACATCCAGATACTACAAAAAGAGTGTTTCAAACCTGCTCTATGAAAGGGAATGTTCAACTCTGTGACTTGAATGCAAACATCACAAAGAAGTTTCTGGGAATGCTGCTGTCTGCTTTTTATATGTAATCCCGTTTCCAACGAAATCCTCAATGCTAGACAAATATCCACTTGCAGATTCCACAAAAAGAGTGTTTCAAAACTGCTCTCTCAAAAGAAAGGTTCAACTCTGTTAGCTGAGTAGATACATCATGAAAAAGTTTCTGACATTGCTTCTATCTAGCTTTTATTGGAAGATATTTCCTTTTTCACCGTAGTCCTGAGAGCGCTCCAAATGTCCACTTCCAGATGCTACAAAAAGAGTGTTTCAAACCTGCTCTATGAAAGGGACTGTTCAACACTGTGACTTCAATTGAAACATCCCAATGAAGCTTCTGAGAATGCTTCTGTCTAGAGTTTATATGAAGACAATCCCGTTTCCAACGAAATCCTCAAAGCTATCCAAATATCCTCTTGCAGATATTACAAAAAGAGTGTTTCAAAACTGCTCTATCAAAAGAAAGGTTCAACACTGTTAGTTGAGGGCGCACATCACAAATAAGTTTACTGAGAATGCTGCTGTCTGCTTTTTATATGTAATCCCATTTCCAACGAAATCCTCAAAGCTAGACAAATATCCACTTGCAGATTCCACAAAAAGAGTGTTTCAAAACTGCTCTATCAAAAGAAAGCTTCTACACTGTTAGTTGAGGGCGCACATCACAAATAAGTTTCTGAGAATGCTTCTGTCTAGTTTTCAGGGGAAGATATTTCCTTTTAAACCATAGGCCTGAAAGCGCTCCAAATGTCCACATCCAGATACTACAAAAAGAGTGTTTCAAACCTGCTCTATGAAAGGGACTGTTCAACACTGTAACTTCAATTGAAACATCCCAATGAAGCTTCTGAGAATGCTTCTGTCTAGAGTTTATATGAAGACAATCCCGTTTCCAACGAAATCCTCAAAGCTATCCAAATATCCTCTTGCAGATATTACAAAAAGAGTGTTTCAAAACTGCTCTATCAAAAGAAAGCTTCAACACTGTTAGTTGAGGGCGCACATCACAAATAAGTTTCTGAGAATGCTTCTGTCTAGTTTTCAGGGGAAGATATTTCCTTTTTCACCTTAGGCCTGAAAGCGCTGCAAATGTCCACATCCAGATACTACAAAAAGAGTGTTTCAAACCTGCTCTATGAAAGGGAATGTTAAACTCTGTGACTTGAATGCAAACAACACAAAGAAGTTTCTGGGAATGCTGCTGTCTGCTTTTTATATGTAATCCCGTTTCCAACGAAATCCTCAAAGCTAGACAAATATCCACTTCCAGATTCCACAAAAAGAGTGTTTCAAAACTGCTCTCTCAAAAGAAAGGTTCAACTCTGTTAGCTGAGTAGATACATCATGAAAAAGTTTCTGACATTGCTTCTATGTAGCTTTTATTGGAAGATATTTCCTTTTTCGCCATAGTCCTGAGAGCGCTCCAAATGTCCACTTCCAGATACTACAAAAAGAGTGTTTCAAACCTGCTCTATGAAAGGGACTGTTCAACACTGTGACTTCAATTGAAACATTCCAATGAATCTTCTGCGAATGCTGCTGTCTGCTTTTTATATGTAATCCCGTTTCCAACGAAATCCTCAATGCTAGACAAATATCCACTTGCAGATTCCACAAAAAGAGTGTTTCAAAACTGCTCTCTCAAAAGAAAGGTTCAACTCTGTTAGCTGAGTAGATACATCATGAAAAAGTTTCTGACATTGCTTCTATCTAGCTTTTATTGGAAGATATTTCCTTTTTCACTGTAGTCCTGAGAACGCTCCAAATGTCCACTTCCAGATACTACAAAAAGAGTGTTTCAAACATGCTCTATGAAAGGGACTGTTCAACACTGTGACTTCAATTGAAACATCTGAATGAAGCTTCTGAGAATGCTTCTGTCTAGATTCTATATGAAGACAATCCCGTTTCCAACGAAATCCTCAAAGCTATCCAAATATCCTCTTGCAGATTTTACAAAAAGAGTGTTTCAAAACTGCTCTATCAAAAGAAAGGTTCAACACTGTTAGTTGAGGGCGCACATCACAAATAAGTTTCTGAGAATGCTTCTGTCTAGTTTTCAGGGGAAGATATTTCCTTTTTCACCATAGGCCTGAAAGCGCTCCAAACGTCCACATCCAGATACTACAAAAACAGTGTTTCAAACCTGCTCTATGAAAGGGAATGCTCAAGTCTGTGACTTGAATGCAAATTTCACAAAGAAGTTTCTGGGAACGCTGCTGTCTGCTTTCTATATGTAATCCCGTTTCCAACGAAATCCTCAAAGCTAGACAAATATCCACTTGCAGATTCCACAAAAATAGTGTTTCAAAACTGCTCTCACAAAAGAAAGGTTCAACTCTGTTAGCTGAATAGATACATCATGAGAAATTTTCTGACATTGCTTCTATCTAGCTTTATTTGGAAGATATTTCCTTTTTCACCGTAGTCCTGAGAGCGCTCCAAATGTCCACTTCCAGATACTACAAAAAGATTGTTTCAAACATGCTCTATGAAAGGGACTGTTCAACACTGTGACCTCAATTGAAACATCCCTATGAAGCTTCTGAGAATGCTTCTGTCTAGATTTTATATGAAGACAATCCCGTTTCCAACGAAATCCTCAAAGCTATCCAAATATCCTCTTGCAGATTTTACAAAAAGAGTGTTTCAAAACTGCTCTATCAAAAGAAAAGTTCAACACTGTTAGTTGAGGGCGCACATCACAAATAAGTTTCTGAGAATGCTTCTGTCTAGTTTTCAGGGGAAGATATTTCCTTTTTCACCATAGGCCTGAAAGCGCTCCAAATGTCCACATCCAGATACTACAAAAAGAGTGTTTCAAACCTGCTCTATGAAAGGGAATGTTCAAGTCTGTGACTTGAATGCAAATATCACAAAGAAGTTTCTGGGAATGCTGCTGTCTGCTTTTTATATGTAATCCCGTTTCCAACGAAATCCTCAAAGCTAGACAAATATCCACTTGCAGATCCAACAAAAAGAGTGTTTCAAAACTGCTCTATCAAAAGAATGCTTCAACACTGTTAGTTGAGTAGATACATCATGAAAAAGTTTCTGACATTGCTTCTATGTAGCTTTTATTGGAAGATATTTCCTTTTTCACCGCAGTCCTGAGAGCGTTCCAAATGTCCACTTCCAGATACTACAAAAAGAGTGTTTCAAACCTGCTCTATGAAAGGGACTGTTCAACACTGTGACTTCAATTGAAACATCCCAATGAAGCTTCTGAGAATGCTGCTGTCTGCTTTGTATAATTAATCCCGTTTCCAACGAAATCCTCAAAGCTATCCAAATATCCTCTTGCAGATATTACAAAAAGAGTGTTTCAAAACTGCTCTATCAAAAGAAAGCTTCAACACTGTTAGTTGAGGGCGCACATCACAAATAAGTTTCTGAGAATGCTGCTGTCTGCTTTTTATATGTAATCCCGTTTCCAACGAAATCCTCAAAGCTAGACAAATATCCACTTGCAGATTCCACAAAAAGAGTGTTTCAAAACTGCTCTCTCAAAAGAAAGCTTCAACACTGTTAGTTGAGGGCGCACATCACAAATAAGTTTCTGAGAATGCTTCTGTCTAGTTTTCAGGGGAAGATATTTCCTTTTAAACCATAGGCCTGAAAGCGCTCCAAATGTCCACATCCAGATACTACAAAAAGAGTGTTTCAAACCTGCTCTATGAAAGGGACTGTTCAACACTGTGACTTCAATTGAAACATCCCAATGAAGCTTCTGAGAATGCTTCTGTCTAGAGTTTATATGAAGACAATCCCGTTTCCAACGAAATCCTCAAAGCTATCCAAATATTCTCTTGCAGATTTTACAAAAAGAGTGTTTCAAAACTGCTCTATCAAAAGAAAGCTTCAACACTGTTAGTTGAGGGCGCACATCACAAATAAGATTCTGAGAATGCTTCTGTATAGTTTTCAGGGGAAGATATTTCCTTTTTCACAATAGGCCTGAAAGCGCTCCAAATGTCCACATCCAGATACTACAAAAAGAGTGTTTCAAACCTGCTCTATGAAAGGGAATGTTCAACTCTGTGATTTGAATGCAAACATCACAAAGAAGTTACTGGGAATGCTGCTGTCTGCTTTTTATATGTAATCCCGTTTCCAACGAAATCCTCAAAGCTAGACAAATATCCACTTGCAGATTCCACAAAAAGAGTGTTTCAAAACTGCTCTCTCAAAAGAAAGGTTCAACTCTGTTAGCTGAGTAGATACATCAGGAAAAAGTTTCTGACATTGCTTCTATCTAGCTTTTATTGGAAGATATTTCCTTTATCACCGTATTCCTGAGATCTCTCCAAATGTCCACTTCCAGATACTACAAAAAGAGTGTTTCAAACCTGCTCTATGAAAGGGACTGTTCAACACTGTGACTTCAATTGAAACATCCCAATGAAGCTTCTGAGAATGCTTCTGTCTAGAGTTTATATGAAGACAATCCCGTTTCCAACGAAATCCTCAAAGCTATCCAAATATCCTCTTGCAGATTTTACAAAAAGGGTGTTTCAAAACTGCTCTATCAAAAGAAAGGTTCAACACTGTTAGTTGAGGGCGCACATCACACATAAGTTTCTGAGAATGCTGCTGTCTGCTTTTTATATGTAATCCCGTTTCGAACGAAATCCTCAAAGCTAGACAAATATCCACTTGCAGATTCCACAAAAAGAGTGTTTCAAAACTGCTCTCTCAAAAGAAAGGTTCAACTCTGTTAGTTGAGTACACACATCACAAATAAGTTTCTGAGAATGCTTCTATCTAGCTTTTATTGGAAGATATTTCCTTTTTCACCGTAGTCCTGAGAGCGCTCAAAATGTCCACTTCCAGATACTACAAAAAGAGTGTTTCAAACCTGCTCTATGAAAGGGACTGTTCAACACTGTGACTTCAATTGAAACATCCCAATGAAGCTTCTGAGAATGCTACTGTCTAGAGTTTATATGAAGACAATCCCGTTTCCAACGAAATCCTCAAAGCTATCCAAATATCCTCTTGCAGATTTTACAAAAAGAGTGTTTCAAAACTGCTCTATCAAAAGAAAGCTTCAACACTGTTAGTTGAGGGCGCACATCACAAATAAGATTCTGAGAATGCTTCTGTCTAGTTTTCAGGGGAAGATATTTCCTTTTTCACCATAGGCCTGAAAGCGCTCCAAATGTCCACATCCAGATACTACAAAAAGAGTGTTTCAAACCTGCTCTATGAAAGGGAATGTTCAACTCTGTGACTTGAATGCAAACTTCACAAAGAAGTTACTGGTAATGCTGCTGTCTGCTTTTTATATGTAATCCCGTTTCCAACGAAATCCTCAAAGCTAGACAAATATCCACTTGCAGATTCCACAAAAAGAGTGTTTCAAAACTGCTCTCTCAAAAGAAAGGTTCAACTCTGTTAGCTGAGTAGATACAACATGAAAAAGTTTCCGACATTGCTTCTATCTAGCTTTTATTGGAAGATACTTCCTTTTTCACCGTAGTCCTGAGAGCGCTCCAAATGTCCACTTCCAGATACTACAAAAAGAGTGTTTCAAACCTGCTCTATGAAAGGGACTGTTCAACACTGTGACTTCAATTGAAACATCCCAATGAAGCTTCTGAGAATGCTTCTGTCTAGATTCTATATGAAGACAATCCCGTTTCCAACGAAATCCTCAAAGCTATCCAAATATCCTCTTGCAGATTTTACAAAAAGAGTGTTTCAAAACTGCTCTATCAAAAGAAAAGTTCCACACTGTTAGTTGAGGGCGCACATCACAAATAAGTTTGCTGAGAATGCTGCTGTCTGCTTTTTATAATTAATCCCGTTTCCAACGAAATCCTCAAAGCTATCCAAATATCCTCTTGCAGATATTACAAAAAGAGTGTTTCAAAACTGCTCTATCAAAAGAAAGCTTCAACACAGTTAGTTTAGGGCGCACATCACAAATAAGTTTCTGAGAATGCTTCTGTCTAGTTTTCAGGGGAAGATATTTCCTTTTAAACCATAGGCCTGAAAGCGCTCCAAATGTCCACATCCAGATACTACAAAAAGAGTGTTTCAAACCTGCTCTATGAAAGGGACTGTTCAACACTGTGACTTCAATTGAAACATCCCAATGAAGCTTCTGAGAATGCTTCTGTCTAGAGTTTATATGAAGACAATCCCGTTTCCAACGAAATCCTCAAACTATCCAAATATCCTCTTGCAGATATTACAAAAAGAGTGTTTCAAAACTGCTCTATCAAAAGAAAGCTTCAACACTGTTAGTTGAGGGCGCACATCACAAATAAGTTTCTGAGAATGCTTCTGTCTAGTTTTCAGGGGAAGATATTTCCTTTTTCACCTTAGGCCTGAAAGCGCTGCAAATGTCCACATCCAGATACTACAAAAAGAGTGTTTCAAACCTGCTCTATGAAAGGGAATGTTCAATTCTGTGACTTGAATGCAAACATCACAAAGAAGTTTCTGGGAATGCTGCTGTCTGCTTTTTATATGTAATCCCGTTTCCAACGAAATCCTCAAAGCTAGACAAATATCCACTTGCAGATTCCACAAAAAGAGTGTTTCAAAACTGCTCTCTCGAAAGAAAGGTTGAACTCTGTTAGCTGAGTAGATACATCATGAAAAAGTGTCTGACATTGCTTCTATCTAGCTTTTATTGGAAGATATTTCCTTTATCACCGTATTCCTGAGATCTCTCCAAATGTCCACTTCCAGATACTACAAAAAGAGTGTTTCAAACCTGCTCTATGAAAGGGACTGTTCAACACTGTGACTTCAATTGAAACATCCCAATGAAGCTTCTGAGAATGCTTCTGTCTAGAGTTTATATGAAGACAATCCCGTTTCCAACGAAATCCTCAAAGCTATCCAAATATCCTCTTGCAGATTTTACAAAAAGAGTGTTTCAAAACTGCTCTATCAAAAGAAAGCTTCAACACTGTTAGTTGAGGGCGCACATCACAAATAAGATTCTGAGAATGCTTCTGTCTAGTTTTCAGGAGAAGATATTTCCTTTTTCACCATAGGCCTGAAAGCGCTCCAAATGTCCACATACAGATACTACAAAAAGAGTGTTTCAAACCTGCTCTATGAAAGGGAATGTTCAACTCTGTGACTTGAATGCAAAAATCACAAAGAAGTTACTGGGAATGCTGCTGTCTGCTTTTTATATGTAATCCCGTTTCCAACGAAATCCTCAAAGCTAGACAAATATCCACTTGCAGATTCCACAAAAAGAGTATTTCAAAACTGCTCTCTCAAAAGAAAGGTTCAACTCTGTTAGCTGAGTAGATACGTCATGAAAAAGTTTCTGACATTGCTTCTATCTAGCTTTTATTGGAAGATATTTCCTTTTTCACCGTAGTCCTGAGAGCGCTCCAAATGTCCACTTCCAGATACTACAAAAAGAGTGTTTCAAACCTGCTCTATGAAAGGGACTGTTCAACACTGTGACTTCAATTGAAACATCCCAATGAAGCTTCTGAGAATGCTTCTGTCTAGAGTTTATATGAAGACAATCCCGTTTCCAACGAAATCCTCAAAGCTATCCAAATATCCTCTTGCAGATTTTACAAAAAGAGTGTTTCAAAACTGCTCTATCAAAAGAAAGCTTCAACACTGTTAGTTGAGGGCGCACATCACAAATAAGATTCTGAGAATGCTTCTGTCTAGTTTTCAGGGGAAGATATTTCCTTTTTCACCATAGGCCTGAAAGCGCTCCAAAGGTCCACATCCAGATACTACAAAAAGAGTGTTTCAAACCTGCTCTATGAAAGGGAATGTTCAACTCTGTGACTTGAATGCAAACATCACAAAGAAGTTTCTGGGAATGCTGCTGTCTGTTTTTATATGAAATCCCGTTTCCAGCGAAATCCTCAAAGCTAGACAAATATCCACTTGCAGATTCCACAAAAAGAGTGTTTCAAAACTGCTCTCTCAAAGGAAGG
Source organism: Homo sapiens (assembly GCF_000001405.40). Classification (NCBI taxonomy): domain Eukaryota; kingdom Metazoa; phylum Chordata; class Mammalia; order Primates; family Hominidae; genus Homo; species Homo sapiens. The sequence goes on along the minus strand of NC_000002.12, from coordinate 92,608,291 downwards.
TTCAACTCTGTTAGCTGAGTAGATACATCATGAAAAAGTTTCTGACATTGCTTCTATCTAGCTTTTATTGGAAGATATTTCCTTTATCACCGTATTCCTGAGATCACTCCAAATGTCCACTTCCAGATACTACAAAAAGAGTGTTTCAAACCTCCTCTATGAAAGGGACTGTTCAACACTGTGACTTCAATTGAAACATCCCAATGAAGCTTCTGAGAATGCTTCTGTCTAGAGTTTATATGAAGACAATCCCGTTTCCAACGAAATCTTCAAAGCTATCCAAATATCCTCTTGCAGATTTTACAAAAAGAGTGTTTCAAAACTGCTCTATCAAAAGAAAGGTTCAACACTGTTAGTTGAGGGCACACATCACAAATAAGATTCTGAGAATGCTTCTGTCTAGTTTTCAGGGGAAGATATTTCCTTTTTCACCATAGGCCTGAAAGTGCTCCAAATGTCCACATCCAGATACTACAAAAAGAGTGTTTCAAACCTGCTCTATGAAAGGGAATGTTCAACTTTGTGACTTGAATGCAAACATCACAAAGAAGTTACTGGGAATGCTGCTGTCTGCTTTTTATATGTAATCCCGTTTCCAACGAAATCCTCAAAGCTAGACAAATATCCACTTCCAGATTCCACAAAAAGACTGTTTCAAAACTGCTGTCTCAAAAGAAAGGTTCAACTCTGTTAGCTGAGTAGATACATCATGAAAAAGTTTCTGACATTGCTTCTATCTAGCTTTTATTGGAAGATATTTCCTTTTTCACTGTAGTCCTGAGAACGCTCCAAATGTCCACTTCCAGATACTACAAAAAGAGTGTTTCAAACATGCTCTATGAAAGGGACTGTTCAACACTGTGACTTCAATTGAAACATCCGAATGAAGCTTCTGAGAATGCTTCTGTCTAGATTCTATATGAAGACAATCCCGTTTCCAACGAAATCCTCAAAGCTATCCAAATATCCTCTTGCAGATTTTACAAAAAGAGTGTTTCAAAACTGCTCTATCAAAAGAAAGGTTCAACACTGTTAGTTCAGGGCGCACATCACAAATAAGTTTCTGAGAATGCTTCTGTATAGTTTTCAGGGGAAGATATTTCCTTTTTCACCATAGGCCTGAAAGCGCTCCAAACGTCCACATCCAGATACTACAAAAACAGTGTTTCAAACCTGCTCTATGAAAGGGAATGCTCAAGTCTGTGACTTGAATGCAAATTTCCCAAAGAAGTTTCTGGGAACGCTGCTGTCTGCTTTCTATATGTAATCCCGTTTCCAACGAAATCCTCAAAGCTAGACAAATATCCACTTGCAGATTCCACAAAAATAGTGTTTCAAAACTGCTCTCACAAAAGAAAGGTTCAACTCTTTTAGCTGAGTAGATACATCATGAAAAAGTTTCTGACATTGCTTCTATCTAGCTTTTATTGGAAGATATTTCCTTTATCACCGTATTCCTGAGATCTCTCCAAATGTCCACTTCCAGATACTACAAAAAGAGTGTTTCAAACCTGCTCTATGAAAGGGACTGTTCAACACTGTGACTTCAATTGAAACATCCCAATGAAGCTTCTGAGAATGCTTCTGTCTAGAGTTTATATGAAGACAATCCCGTTTCCAACGAAATCCTCAAAGATATCCAAATATCCTCTTGCAGATATTACAAAAAGAGTGTTTCAAAACTGCTCTATCAAAAGAAAGCTTCAACACTGTTAGTTGAGGTCGCACATCACAAATTAGTTTCTGAGAATGCTTCTGTCTAGTTTTCAGGGGAAGATATTTCCTTTTTCACCATAGGCCTGAAAGCGCTCCAAATGTCCACATCCAGATACTACAAAAAGAGTGTTTCAAACCTGCTCTATGAAAGGGAATGTTCAACTCTGTGACTTGAATGCAAACATCACAAAGAAGTTACTGGGAATGCTGCTGTCTGCTTTTTATATGTAATCCCGTTTCCAACGAAATCCTCAAAGCTAGACAAATATCCACTTCCAGATTCCACAAAAAGAGTGTTTCAAAACTGCTCTCTCAAAAGAAAGGTTTAACTCTGTTAGCTGAGTAGATACATCATGAAAAAGTTTCTGACATTGCTTCTATCTAGCTTTTATTGGAAGATACTTCCTTTTTCACCGTAGTCCTGAGAGCGCTCCAAATGTCCACTTCCAGATACTACAAAAAGAGTGTTTCAAACCTGCTCTATGAAAGGGACTGTTCAACACTGTGACTTCAATTGAAACATCCCAATGAAGCTTCTGAGAATGCTTCTGTCTAGAGTTTATATGAAGACAATCCCGTTTCCAACGAAATCCTCAAAGCTATCCAAATATCCTCTTGCAGATTTTACAAAAAGAGTGTTTCAAAACTGCTCTATCAAAAGAAAGCTTCAACACTGTTAGTTGAGGGCGCACATCACAAATAAGATTCTGAGAATGCTTCTGTCTAGTTTTCAGGAGAAGATATTTCCTTTTTCACCATAGGCCTGAAAGCGCTCCAAATGTCCACATCCAGATACTATAAAAAGAGTGTTTCAAACCTGCTCTCTGAAAGGGAATGTTCAACTCTGTGACATGAATGCAAACATCACAAACAAGATTCTGGGAATGCTGCTGTCTGCTTTTTATATGTAATCCCGTTTCCAACGAAATCCTCAAAGCTAGACAAATATCCACTTGCAGATTCCACAAAAAGAGTGTTTCAAAACTGCTCTATCAAAAGAAAGCTTCAACACTGTTAGTTGAGGGCGCACATCACAAATAAGTTTCTGAGAATGCTTCTGTCTAGTTTTCAGGGGAAGATATTTCCTTTTTCACCATAGGCCTGAAAGCGCTCCAAATGTCCACATCCAGATACTACAAAAAGAGTGTTTCAAACCTGCTCTATGAAAGGGACTGTTCAACACTGTGACTTCAATTGAAACATCCCAATGAAGCTTCTGAGAATGCTACTGTCTAGGGTTAATATGAAGACAATCCCGTTTCCAACGAAATCCTCAAAGCTATCCAAATATCCTCTTGCAGATTTTACAAAAAGAGTGTTTCAAAACTACTCTATCAACAGAAAGGTTCAACATTGTTAGTTGAGGGCCCACATCACAAATAAGTTTCTGAGAATGCTTCTGTCTAGTTTGCAGGGGAAGATATTTCCTTTTTCACCATAGGCCTGAGAGCGCTCCAAATGTCCACATCCAGATACTACAAAAATAGTGTTTCAAACCTGCTCTATGAAAGGGAATGTTCAACTCTGTGACTTGAATGCAAACATCACAAAGAAGTTTCTGGGAATGCTGCTGTCTGTTTTTTATATGTAATCCCGTTTCCAACGAAATCCTCAAACCTAGACAAATATCCACCTGCAGATCGAACAAAAAGAGTGTTTCAAAACTGCTCTCTCAAAAAAAAGGTTCAACTCTGTTAGCTGAGTAGATACATCATGAAAAAGTTTCTGACATTGCTTCTATCTAGCTTTTATTGGAAGATATTTCCTTTTTCACCGTAGTCCTGAGAGCGCTCCAAATGTCCACTTCCAGATACTACAAAAAGAGTGTTTCAAACCTGCTCTATGAAACGGACTGTTCAACACTGTGACTTCAATTGAAACATCCCAATGAAGCTTCTGAGAATGCTACTGTCTAGAGTTTATATGAAGACAATCCCATTTCCTCCGAAATCCTCAAAGCAATCCAAATATCCTCTTGCAGATTTTACAAAAAGAGTGTTTCAAACTGCTCTGTCAAAAGAAAGCTTCAACACTGTTAGTTGAGGGTGCACATCACAAATAAGTTTCTGAGAATGCTTCTGTCTGGTTTCTATTGGAAGGTATTTCCTTTTTCAACACAAGGTTGAATGCGCTTCAAATGGACACTTCCAGATATGACAAAAGGCATGTTTCCAACCTGCTCTATGATACGGAACGTTCAACTCTGTGACTTGAATGCAAACATCACAAAGAAGTTTCTCACAACGCTGCTGTCTGCTTTTTATATGTATTCCCGTTTCCAACGAAATCCTCAAAGCCAGCAAAGTATCCACTTGCAGATTCCACAAAAAGAGTGTTTCAAAACTGTTCTGTCAAAAGAAATGTTCAACTCTGTTAGTTGAGGACACATCTCAGAAACTAGTTTCAGAGAATGCTTCTGTCTAGTTTTTATGGGAAGATATTTCCTTTTTCAATATAGCCCTGAAAGCGCTACAAATGTCCACGTCCAGATACTACAAAAAGAGTGTTTCAAACCTACTCCATGAAAGGGACTGTTCAACACTGCGACTTCAATAGAAACATCCCAATGAAGTTTCTGAGAATGCTTCTGTCTAGAGTTTATATGAAGACAATCCCGTTTCCAACGAAATCCTCAAAGCTATCCAAATATCTTCTTGCAGATTTTACAAAAAGAGTGTTTCAAAACTGCTCTATCAAAAGAAAGGTTCAACACTGTTAGTTGAGGGCGCACATCACAAATAAGTTTCTGAGAATGCTTCTGTCTAGTTTTCAGGGGAAGATATTTCCTTTTTCACCATAGGCCTGAAAGCGCTCCAAATGTCCACATCCAGATACTTCAAAAAGAGTGTTTCAAACCTGCTCTATGAAAGGGAATGTTCAACTCTGTGACTTGAATGCAAACATCACAAAGAAGTTACTGGGAATGCTGCTGTCTGCTTTTTATATGTAATCCCGTTTCCAACGAAATCCTCAAAGCTAGACAAATATCCACTTGCAGATTCCACAAAAAGAGTGTTTCAAAACTGCTCTCTCAAAGGAAAGGTTCAACTCTGTTAGCTGAGTAGATACATCATGAAAAAGTTTCTGACATTGCTTCTATGTAGCTTTTATTGGAAGATATTTCCTTTTTCACCATAGTCCTGAGAGCGCTCCAAATGTCCACTTCCAGATACTACAAAAAGTGTGTTTCAAACCTGTTCTATGAAAGGAACTGTTCAACACTGTGACTTCAATTGAAACATCCCAATGAAGCTTCTGAGAATGCTTCTGTCTAGAGTTTATATGAAGACAATCCCGTTTCCAACGAAATCCTCAAAGCTATCCAAATATCCTCTTGCAGATTTTACGAAAAGAGTGTTTCAAAACTGCTCTATCAAAAGAAAGCTTCAACACTGTTAGTTGAGGGCGCACATCACAAATAAGATTCTGAGAATGCTTCTGTCTAGTTTTCAGGAGAAGATATTTCCTTTTTCACCATAGGCCTGAAAGCGCTCCAAATGTCCACATCCAGATACTATAAAAAGAGTGTTTCAAACCTGCTCTCTGAAAGGGAATGTTCAACTCTGTGACTTGAATGCAAACATCACAAACAAGATTCTGGGAATGCTGCTGTCTGCTTTTTTTATGTAATCCCATTTCCAACGAAATCCTCAAAGCTAGACAAATATCCACTTGCAGATTCCACAAAAAGAGTGTTTCAAAACTGCTCTCTCAAAGGAAAGTTCAAATTTGTTAGCTGAGTACATACATCATGAAAAAGTTTCTGACATTGCTTCTATCTAGCTTTTATTGGAAGATATTTCCTTTTTCACCGCAGTCCTGAGAGCGCTCCAAATGTCCACTTCCAGATACTACAAAAAGAGTGTTTCAAACCTGCTCTATGAAAGGGACTGTTCAACACTGTGACTTCAACTGAAACATCCCAATGAAGCTTCTGAGAATGCTTCTTTCTAGAGTTTATATGAAGACAATCCCGTTTCCAACGAAATCCTCAAAGCTATCCAAATATCCTCTTGCAGATTTTACAAAAAGAGTGTTTCAAAACTGCTCTATCAAAAGAAAGCTTCAACCCTGTTAGTTGAGGGCGCACATCAGAAATAAGATTCTGAGAATGCTTCTGTCTAGTTTTCAGGGGAAGATATTTCCTTTTTCACCATAGGCCTGAAAGTGCTCCAAATGTCCACATCCAGATACTATAAAAAGAGTGTTTCAAACCTGCTCTCTGAAAGGGAATGTTCAACTCTGTGACTTGAATGCAAACATCACAAACAAGATTCTGGGAATGCTGCTGTCTGCTTTTTATATGTAATCCCGTTTCCAACGAAATCCTCAAAGCTAGACAAATATCCACTTGCAGATTCCACAAAAAGAGTGTTTCAAAACTGCTCTCTCAAAAGAAAGGTTCAACCCTGTTAGCTGAGCAGATACATCATGAAAAAGTTTCTGACATTGCTTCTATCTAGCTTTTATTGGAAGATATTTCCTTTATCACCGTATTCCTGAGATCTCTCCAAATGTCCACTTCCAGATACTACAAAAAGAGTGTTTCAAACCTGCTCTATGAAAGGGACTGTTCAACACTGTGACTTCAATTGAAACATCCCAATGAAGCTTCTGAGAATGCTGCTGTCTGCTTTGTATAATTAATCCCGTTTCCAACGAAATCCTCAAAGCTATCCAAATATCCTCTTGCAGATATTACAAAAAGAGTGTTTCAAAACTGCTCTATCAAAAGAAAGCTTCAACACTGTTAGTTGAGGGCGCACATCACAAATAAGTTTCTGAGAATGCTGCTGTCTGCTTTTTATATGTAATCCCGTTTCCAACGAAATCCTCAAAGCTAGACAATATCTACTTGCAGATTCCACAAAAAGAGTGTTTCAAAACTGCTCTATCAAAAGAATGCTTCAACTCTGTTAGTTGAGGGCGCACATCACAAATAAGTTTCTGAGAATGCTTCTGTCTAGTTTTCAGGGGAAGATATTTCCTTTTAAACCATAGGCCTGAAAGCGCTCCAAATGTCCACATCCAGATACTACAAAAAGAGTGTTTCAAACCTGCTCTATGAAAGGGACTGTTCAACACTGTGACTTCAATTGAAACATCCCAATGAAGCTTCTGAGAATGCTTCTGTCTAGAGTATATATGAAGACAATCCCGTTTCCAACGAAATCCTCAAAGCTATCCAAATATCCTCTTGCAGATTTTACAAAAAGAGTGTTTCAAAACTGCTCTATCAAAAGAAAGCTTCAACACTGTTAGTTGAGGGCGCACATCACAAATAAGATTCTGAGAATGCTTCTGTCTAGTTTTCAGGGGAAGATATTTCCTTTTTCACCATAGGCCTGAAAGCGCTCCAAATGTCCACATACAGATACTACAAAAAGAGTGTTTCAAACCTGCTCTATGAAAGGGAATGTTCAACTCTGTGACTTGAATGCAAACATCACAAAAGAAGTTTCTGGGAATGCTGCTGTCGGCTTTTTATATGTAATCCCGTTTCCAACGCAATCCTCAAAACTAGACAAATATCCACTTGCAGATTACACAAAAAGAGTGTTTCAAAACTGCTCTCTCAAAAGAAAGGTTCAACTCTGTTAGCTGAGTAGATACATCATGAAAAATTTTCTGACATTGCTTCTATCTAGCTTTTATTGGAAGATATTTCCTTTTTCACTGTAGTCCTGAGAACGCTCCAAATGTCCACTTCCAGATACTACAAAAAGAGTGTTTCAAACATGCTCTATGAAAGGGACTGTTCAACACTGTGACTTCAATTGAAACATCCGAATGAAGCTTCTGAGAATGCTTCTGTCTAGATTCTATATGAAGACAATCCCGTTTCCAACGAAATCCTCAAAGCTATCCAAATATCCTCTTGCAGATTTTACAAAAAGAGTGTTTCAAAACTGCTCTATCAAAAGAAAGGTTCAACACTGTTAGTTGAGGGCGCACATCACAAATAAGTTTCTGAGAATGCTTCTGTCTAGTTTTCAGGAGAAGATATTTCCTTTTTCACCATAGGCCTGAAAGCGCTCCAAATGTGCACATCCAGATACTATAAAAAGAGTGTTTCAAACCTGCTCTATGAAAGGGAATGTTCAACTCTGTGACTTGAATGCAAACATCACAAACAAGATTCTGGGAATGCTGCTGTCTGCTTTTTATATGTAATCCCGTTTCCAACGAAATCCTCAAAGCTAGACAAATATCCACTTGCAGATTCCACAAAAAGAGTGTTTCAAAACTGCTCTATCAAAAGAAAGCTTCAACACTGTTAGTTGAGGGCGCACATCACAAATAAGTTTCTGAGAATGCTTCTGTCTAGTTTTCAGGGGAAGATATTTCCTTTTAAACCATAGGCCTGAAAGCGCTCCAAATGTCCACATCCAGATACTACAAAAAGAGTGTTTCAAACCTGCTCTATGAAAGGGACTGTTCAACACTGTGACTTCAATTGAAACATCCCAATGAAGCTTCTGAGAATGCTTCTGTCTAGAGTTTATATGAAGACAATCCCGTTTCCAACGAAATCCTCAAAGCTATCCAAATATCCTCTTGCAGATATTACAAAAAGAGTGTTTCAAAACTGCTCTATCAAAAGAAAGGTTCAACACTGTTAGTTGAGGGCGCACATCACAAATAAGTTTCTGAGAATGCTTCTGTCTAGTTTTCAGGGGAAGATATTTCCTTTTTCACCTTAGGCCTGAAAGCGCTGCAAATGTCCACATACAGATACTACAAAAAGTGTGTTTCAAACCTGCTCTATGAAAGGGAATGTTCAAATCTGTGACTTGAATGCAAACATCACAAAGAAGTTTCTGGGAATGCTGCTGTCTGCTTTTTATATGTAATCCCGTTTCCAACATAATCCTGAAAGCTAGACAAATATCCACCTGCAGATCCCACAAAAAGAGTGTTTCAAAACTGCTCTCTCAGAAAAAATGTTGAACTCTGTTAGCTGAGTAGATACATCATGAAAAAGTTTCTGACATTGCTTCTATCTAGCTTTTATTGGAAGATATTTCCTTTTTCACCGCCGTCCTGAGAACGCTCCAAATGTCCACTTCCAGATACTACAAAAAGAGTGTTTCAAACCTGCTCTATGAAAGGGACTGTTCAACACTGTGACTTCAATTGAAACATCCCAATGAAGCTTCTGAGAATGCTTCTGTCTAGAGTTTATATGAAGACAATCCCGTTTCCAAAGAAATCCTCAAAGCAATCCAAATATCCTCTTGCAGATTTTACAAAAAGAGTGTTTCAAAACTGCTCTATCAAAAGAAAGCTTCAACACTGTTAGTTGAGGGCGCACATCACAAATAAGATTCTGAGAATGCTTCTGTCTAGTTTTCAGGGGAAGATATTTCCTTTTTCACCATAGGCCTGAAAGCGCTCCAAATGTCCACATCCAGATACTACAAATGAGTGTTTCAAACCTGCTCTATGAAAGGGAATGTTCAACTCTGTGACTTGAATGCAAACTTCACAAAGAAGTTTCTGGGAATGCTGCTGTCTGCTTTTTATATGTAATCCCGTTTCCAACGAAATCCTCAAAGCTAGACAAATATCCACATGCAGATTCCTCAAAAAGAGTGTTTCAAAACTGCTCTCTCAAAAGAAAGGTTCAACTCTGTTAGCTGAGTAGATACATCATGAAAAAGTTTCTGACATTGCTTCTATCTAGCTTTTATTGGAAGATATTTCCTTTATCACCGTATTCCTGAGATCTCTCCAAATGTCCACTTCCAGATACTACAAAAAGAGTGTTTCAAACCTGCTCTATGAAAGGGACTGTTCAACACTGTGACTTCAATTGAAACATCCCAATGAAGCTTCTGAGAATGCTTCTGTCTAGAGTTTATATGAAGACAATCCCGTTTCCAACGAAATCCTCAAAGCTATCCAAATATCCTCTTGCAGATTTTACAAAAAGAGTGTTTCAAAACTGCTTTATCAAAAGAAAGCTTCAACACTGTTAGTTGAGGGCGCACATCACAAATAAGTTTCTGAGAATGCTGCTGTCTGCTTTTTATATGTAATCCCGTTTCCAACGAAATCCTCAAAGCTAGACAAATATCCACTTGCAGATTCCACAAAAAGAGTGTTTCAAAACTGCTCTATCAAGAGAAAGCTTCAACACTGTTAGTTGAGGGCGCACATCACAAATAAGTTTCTGAGAATGCTTCTGTCTAGTTTTCAGGGGAAGATATTTCCTTTTTCACCATAGGCCTGAAAGCGCTCCAAATGTCCACATCCAGATACTACAAAAAGAGTGTTTCAAACCTGCTCTATGAAAGGGACTGTTCAACACTGTGACTTCAATTGAAACATCCCAATGAAGCTTCTGAGAATGCTTCTGTCTAGATTTTATATGAAGACAATCCCGTTTCCAACGAAATCCTCAAAGCTATCCAAATATCCTCTTGCAGATTTTACAAAAAGAGTGTTTCAAAACTGCTCTATCAAAAGAAAGCTTCAACACTGTTAGTTAAGGGCGCACATCACAAATAAGTTTCTGAGAATGCTTCTGTCTAGTTTTCTGGGGAAGATATTTCCTTTTTCACCATAGGCCTGAAAGCGCTCCAAATGTCCACATCCAGATACTACAAAAAGAGTGTTTCAAACCTGCTCTATGAAAGGGAATGTTCAACTCTGTGACTTGAATGCAAACATCACAAAGAAGTTACTGGGAATGCTGCTGTCTGCTTTTTATATGTAATCCCGTTTCCAACGAAATCCTCAAAGCTAGACAAATATCCACTTCCAGATTCCACAAAAAGAGTGTTTCAAAACTGCTCTCTCAAAAGAAAGGTTCAACTCTGTTAGCTGAGTAGATACATCATGAAAAAGTTTCTGACATTGCTTTTATGTAGCTTTTATTGGAAGATATTTCCTTTTTCACCATAGGCCTGAAAGCGCTCCAAATGTCCACATCCAGATACTACAAAAAAAGTGTTTCAAACCTGCTCTCTGAAAGGGAATGTTCAACTCTGTGACTTGAATGCAAACATCACAAAGAAGTTACTGGGAATGCTTCTGTCTAGAGTTTATATGAAGACAATCCCGTTTCCAAAGAAATCCTCAAAGCTATCCAAATATCCTCTTGCAGATATTACAAAAAGAGTGTTTCAAAACTGCTCTATCAAAAGAAAGGTTCAACACTGTTAGTTGAGGGCGCACATCACAAATAAGTTTCTGAGAATGCTTCTGTCTAGTTTTCAGGGGAAGATATTTCCTTTTTCACCTTATGCCTGAAAGCGCTGCAAATGTCCACATCCAGATACTACAAAAAGAGTGTTTCAAACCTGCTCTATGAAAGGGAATGTTCAACTCTGTGACTTGAATGCAAACATCACAAAGAAGTTTCTGGGAATGCTGCTGTCTGCTTTTTATATGTAATCCCGTTTCCAACGAAATCCTCAAAGCTAGACAAATATCCACTTCCAGATTCCACAAAAAGAGTGTTTCAAAACTGCTGTCTCAAAAGAAAGGTTCAACTGCTGTTAGCTGAGTAGATACATCATGAAAAAGTTTCTGACATTGCTTCTATCTAGCTTTTATTGGAAGATATTTCCTTTTTCACCGTAGTCCTGAGAACGCTCCAAATGTCCACTTCCAGATACTACAAAAAGAGTGTTTCAAACCTGCTCTATGAAAGGGACTGTTCAACACTGTGACTTCAATTGAAACATCCCAATGAAGCTTCTGAGAATGCTTCTGTCTAGATTTTATATGAAGACAATCCCGTTTCCAACGAAATCCTCAAAGCTATCCAAATATCCTCTTGCAGATTTTACAAAAAGAGTGTTTCAAAACTACTCTATCAAAAGAAAGGTTTAACACTGTTAGTTGAGGGCGCACATCACAAATAAGTTTCTGAGAATGCTTCTGTCTAGTTTTCAGTGGAATATATTTCCTTTTTCACCATAGGCCTGAAAGCGCTCCAAATGTCCAAATCCAGATACTACAAAAAGAGTGTTTCAAACCTGCTCTATGAAAGGGAATGTTCAACTCTGTGACTTGAATGCAAACATCACAAAGAAGTTTCTGGGAATGCTGCTGTCTGCTTTTTATATGTAATCCCGTTTCCAACGAAATCCTCAAAGCTAGACAAATATCCACTTGCAGATTCCACAAAAAGAGTGTTTCAAAACTGCTCTCTCAAAAGAAAGGTTCAACTCTGTTAGCTGAGTAGATACATCATGAAAAATTTTCTGACATTGCTTCTATCTAGCTTTTATTGGAAGATATTTCCTTTTTCACCGTAGTCCTGAGAGCGCTCCAAATGTCCACTTCCAGATACTACAAAAAGAGTGTTTCAAACCTGCTCTATGAAAGGGACTGTTCAACACTGTGACTTCAATTGAAACATCCCAATGAAGCTTCTGAGAATGCTTCTGTCTAGAGTTTATATGAAGACAATCCCGTTTCCAACGAAATCCTCAAAGCTATCCAAATATCCTCTTGCAGATATTACAAAAAGAGTGTTTCAAAACTGCTCTATCAAAAGAAAGGTTCAACACTGTTAGTTGAGGGCGCACATCACAAATAAGTTTACTGAGAATGCTGCTGTCTGCTATTTATAATTAATCCCGTTTCCAACGAAATCCTCAAAGCTAGACAAATATCCACTTGCAGATTCCACAAAAAGAGTGTTTCAAAACTGCTCTATCAAAAGAATGCTTCAACACTGTTAGTTGAGGGCGCACATCACAAATAAGTTTCTGAGAATGCTTCTGTCTAGTTTTCAGGGGAAGATATTTCCTTTTAAACCATAGGCCTGAAAGCGCTCCAAATGTCCACATCCAGATACTACAAAAAGAGTGTTTCAAACCTGCTCTATGAAAGGGACTGTTCAACACTGTGACTTCAATTGAAACATCCCAATGAAGCTTCTGAGAATGCTTCTGTCTAGAGTTTATATGAAGACAATCCCGTTTCCAACGAAATCCTCAAAGCTATCCAAATATCCTCTTGCAGATTTTACAAAAAGAGTGTTTCAAAACTGCTCTATCAAAAGAAAGCTTCAACACTGTTAGTTGAGGGCACACATCACAAATAAGATTCTGAGAATGCTTCTGTCTAGTTTTCAGGGGAAGATATTTCCTTTTTCACCATAGGCCTGAAAGCGCTCCAAATGTCCACATCCAGATACTACAAAAAGAGTGTTTCAAACCTGCTCTATGAAAGGGAATGTTCAACTCTGTGACGTGAATGCAAACATCACAAAGAAGTTTCTGGGAATGCTGCTGTCTGCTTTTTATATGTAATCCCGTTTCCAACGAAATCCTCAAAGCTAGACAAATATCCACTTGCAGATTCCACAAAAGGAGTGTTTCAAAACTGCTCTATCAAAAGAATGCTTCAACACTGTTAGTTGAGGGCGCACATCACAAATAAGTTTCTGAGAATGCTTCTGTCTAGTTTTCAGGGGAAGATATTTCCTTTTAAACCATAGGCCTGAAAGCGCTCCAAATGTCCACATCCAGATACTACAAAAAGAGTGTTTGAAACCTGCTCTATGAAAGGGACTGTTCAACACTGTAACTTCAATTGAAACATCCCAATGAAGCTTACTGAGAATGCTTCTGTCTGGAGTTTATATGAAGACAATCCCGTTTCCAACGAAATCCTCAAAGCTATCCAAATATCCTCTTGCAGATTTTACAAAAAGAGTGTTTCAAAACTGCTCTATCAAAAGAAAGGTTCAACACTGTTAGTTGAGGGCGCACATCACAAATAAGATTCTGAGAATGCTTCTGTCTAGTTTTCAGGGGAAGATATTTCCTTTTTCACCATAGGCCTGAAAGCGCTCCAAATGTCCACATCTAGATACTATAAAAAGAGTGTTTCAAACCTGCTCTATGAAAGGGAATGTTCAACTCTGTGACTTGAATGCAAACATCACAAAGAAGATTCTGGGAATGCTGCTGTCTGCTTTTTATATGTAATCCCGTTTCCAACGAAATCCTCAAAGCTAGACAAATATCCACCTGCAGATCCAACAAAAAGAGTGTTTCAAAACTGCTCTCTCAAAAAAAAGGTTCAACTCTGTTAGCTGAGTAGATACATCATGAAAAAGTTTCTGACATTGCTTCTATCTAGCTTTTATTGGAAGATATTTCCTTTTTCACCGTAGTCCTGAGAGTGCTCCAAATCTCCACTTCCAGATATTACAAAAAGAGTGTTTCAAACCTGCTCTACGATAGGGACTGTTCAACACTGTGACTTTAATTGAAACATCCCAATGAAGCTTCTGAGAATGCTTCTGTCTAGATTGTATATGAAGACAATCCCGTTTCCAACGAAATCCTCAAAGCTATCCAAATATCCTCTTGCAGATTTTACAAAAAGAGTGTTTCAAAACTGCTCTATCAAAAGAAAGCTTCAACACTGTTAGTTGAGGGCGCACATCACAAATAAGTTTCTGAGAATGCTTCTGTCTAGTTTTCAGGGGAAGATATTTCCTTTTTCACCATAGGCCTGAAAGCGCTCCAAATGTCCACATGCAGATACTACAAAAAGAGTGTTTCAAACCTGCTCTATGAAAGGGAATGTTCAACTCTGTGACTTGAATGCAAATATCACAAAGAAGTTTCTGGGAATGCTGCTGTCTGCTTTTTCTATGTAATCCCGTTTCCAACGAAATCCTCAAAGCTAGACAAATATCCACTTGCAGATTCCACAAAAAGAGTGTTTCAAAACGGCTCTCTCAAAAGAAAGGTTCAACTCTGTTAGCTGAGTAGATACATCATGAAAAATTCTCTGACATTGCTTCTATCTAGCTTTATTTGGAAGATATTTCCTTTTTCACCGTAGTCCTGAGAGCGCTCCAAATGTCCACTTCCAGATACTACAAAAAGATTGTTTCAAACATGCTCTATGAAAGGGACTGTTCAACACTGTGACTTCAATTGAAACATCCCAATGAAGCTTCTGAGAATGCTTCTGTCTAGAGTTTATATGAAGACAATCCCGTTTCCAACGAAATCCTCAAAGCTATCCAAATATCCTCTTGCAGATTTTACAAAAAGAGTGTTTCAAAACTGCTCTATCAAAAGAAAAGTTCAACACTGTTAGTTGAGGGCGCACATCACAAATAAGTTTCTGAGAATGCTTCTGTCTAGTTTTCAGGGGAAGATATTTCCTTTTTCACCATAGGCCTGAAAGCGCTCCAAATGTCCACATCCAGATACTACAAAAAGAGTGTTTCAAACCTGCTCTATGAAAGGGAATGTTCAAGTCTGTGACTTGAATGCAAATATCACAAAGAAGTTTCTGGGAATGCTGCTGTGCTGCTTTTTATATGTAATCCCGTTTCAAACGCAATCCTCAAAGCTAGACAAATATCCACTTCCAGATTCCACAAAAAGAGTGTTTCAAAACTGCTCTCTCAAAAGAAAGGTACAACTCTGTTAGCTGAGTAGATACATCATGAAAAATTTTCTGACATTGCTTCTATCTAGCTTTTATTGGAAGATATTTCCTTTTTCACCGCAGTCCTGAGAGCGTTCCAAATGTCCACTTCCAGATACTACAAAAAGAGTGTTTCAAACCTGCTCTATGAAAGGGACTGTTCAACACTGTGACTTCAATTGAAACATCCCAATGAAGCTTCTGAGAATGCTTCTGTCTAGAGTTTATATGAAGACAATCCCGTTTCCAACGAAATCCTCAAAGCTATCCAAATATCCTCTTGCAGATATTACAAAAAGAGTGTTTCAAAACTGCTCTATCAAAAGAAAGCTTCAACACTGTTAGTTGAGGGCGCACATCACAAATAAGTTTCTGAGAATGCTTCTGTCTAGTTTTCAGGGGAAGATATTTCCTTTTTCACCATAGGCTTGAAAGCACTCCAAATGTCCACATCCAGATACTACAAAAAGAGTGTTTCAAACCTGCTCTATGAAAGGGAATGTTCAACTCTGTGACTTGAATGCAAACATCACAAAGAAGTTTCTGGGAATGCTGCTGTCTCCTTTTTATATGTAATCCCGTTTCCAACGAAATCCTCAAAGCTAGACAAATATCCACTTGCAGATTCCACAAAAAGAGTGTTTCAAAACTGCTCTCTCAAAGGAAGGTTCAACTCTGTTAGCTGAGTAGATACATCATGAAAAAGTTTCTGACATTGCTTCTATCTAGCTTTTATTGGAAGATATTTCCTTTTTCACCGCAGTCCTGAGAGCGCTCCAAATGTCCACTTCCAGATACTACAAAAAGAGTGTTTCAAACCTGCTCTATGAAAGGGACTGTTCAACACTGTGACTTCAATTGAAACATCCCAATGAAGCTTCTGAGAATGCTTCTGTCTAGAGTTTATATGAAGACAATCCCGTTTCCAACGAAATCCTCAAAGCTATCCAAATATCCTCTTGCAGATTTTACAAAAAGAGTGTTTCAAAACTGCTCTATCAAAAGAAAGCTTCAACACTGTTAGTTGAGGGCGCACATCACAAATAAGATTCTGAGAATGCTTCTGTCTAGTTTTCAGGGGAAGATATTTCCTTTTTCACCATAGGCCTGAAAGCGCTCCAAATGTCCACATCCAGATACTACAAAAAGAGTGTTTCAAACCTGCTCTATGAAAGAGAATGTTCAGCTCTGTGACTTGAATGCAAACTTCACAAAGAAGTTTCTGGGAATGCTGCTGTCTGCTTTTTATATGTAATCCCGTTTCCAACGAAATCCTCAAAGCTAGACAAATATCCACTTGCAGATTCCACAAAAAGAGTGTTTCAAAACTGCTCTCTCAAAAGAAAGGTTCAACTCTTTTAGCTGAGTAGACACATGATGAAAAAGTTTCTGACATTGCTTCTACCTAGCTTTATTTGGAAGATATTTCCTTTTTCACCGTAGTCCTGAAAACGCTCCAAATGTCAACTTCCAGATACTACAAAAAGAGTGTTTCAAACATACTCTATGAAAGGGACTGTTCAACACAGTGACTTCAATTGAAACATCCCAATGAAGCTTCTGAGAATGCTTCTGTCTAGATTTTATATGTAGACAATCCCGTTTCAAAGGAAATCCTCAAAGCTATCCAAATATCCTCTTGCAGATTTTACAAAA
The DNA here is from genome assembly GCF_000001405.40 of Homo sapiens. Lineage (NCBI taxonomy): Eukaryota > Metazoa > Chordata > Mammalia > Primates > Hominidae > Homo > Homo sapiens. Next base: position 92,591,500 of record NC_000002.12, on the reverse strand, counting down.
AGAGTGTTTCAAAACAGCTCTATCAAAAGAAAAGTTCAACACTGTTAGTTGAGGGCGCACATCACAAATAAGATTCTGAGAATGCTTCTGTCTAGTTTTCAGGGGAAGATATTTCCTTTTTCACCATAGGCCTGAAAGCGCTCCAAATGTCCACATACAGATACTACAAAAAGAGTGTTTCAAACCTGCTCTATGAAAGGGAATGTTCAACTCTGTGACTTGAATGCAAACTTCACAAAGAAGTTTACTGGGAATGCTGGCTGTCTGCTTTTTATATGTAATCCCGTTTCCAACGAAATCCTCAAAGCTAGACAAATATCCACTTGCAGATTCCACAAAAAGAGTGTTTCAAAACTGCTCTCTCAAAAGAAAGGTTCAACTCTGTTAGCTGAGTAGATACATCATGAAAAAGTTTCTGACATTGCTTCTATCTAGCTTTTATTGGAAGATATTTCCTTTATCACCGTATTCCTGAGATCTCTCCAAATGTCCACTTCCAGATCCTAAAAAAAGAGTGTTTCAAACCTGCTCTATGAAAGGGACTGTTAAACACTGTGACTTCAATTGAAACATCCCAATGAAGCTTCTGAGAATGCTTCTGTCTAGAGTTTATATGAAGACAATCCCGTTTCCAACGAAATCCTCAAAGCTATCCAAATATCCTCTTGCAGATATTACAAAAAGAGTGTTTCAAAACTGCTCTATCAAAAGAAAGGTTAAACACTGTTAGTTGAGGGCGCACATCACAAATAAGATTCTGAGAATGCTTCTGTCTAGTTTTCTGGGGAAGATATTTCCTTTTTCACCATAGGCCTGAAAGCGCTCCAAATGTCCACATCCACATACTACAAAAAGAGTGTTTCAAACCTGCTCTATGAAAGGGAATGTTCAACTCTGTGACTTGAATGCAAACATCACAAAGAAGTTTGCTGGGAATGCTGCTGTCTGCTTTTTATATGTAATCCCGTTTCCAACGAAATCCTCAAAGCTAGACAAATATCCACTTGCAGATTCCACAAAAAGAGTGTTTCAAAACTGCTCTCTCAAAAGAAAGGTTCAACTCTGTTAGCTGAGTAGATACATCATGAAAAAGTTTCTGACATTGCTTCTATCTAGCTTTTATTGGAAGATATTTCCTTTATCACCGTATTCCTGAGATCTCTCCAAATGTCCACTTCCAGATACTACAAAAAGAGTGTTTCAAACCTGCTCTATGAAAGGGACTGTTCAACACTGTTGACTTCAATTGAAACATCCCAATGAAGCTTCTGAGAATGCTTCTGTCTAGAGTTTATATGAAGACAATCCCGTTTCCAACGAAATCCTCAAAGCTATCCAAATATCCTCTTGCAGATTTCACAAAAAGAGTGTTTCAAAACTGCTCTATCAAAAGAAAGCTTCAACACTGTTAGTTGAGGGCGCACATCACAAATAAGATTCTGAGAATGCTGCTGTCTGCTTTTTATATGTAATCCCGTTTCCAACGAAATCCTCAAAGCTATCCAAATATCCTCTTGCAGATATTACAAAAAGAGTGTTTCAAAACTGCTCTATCAAAAGAAAGGTTCAACACTGTTAGTTGAGGGCGCACATCACAAATAAGTTTACTGAGAATGCTTCTGTCTAGTTTTCAGGGGAAGATATTTCCTTTTTCACCATATGCCTGAAAGCGCTCCAAATGTCCACATCCAGATACTACAAAAAGAGTGTTTCAAACCTGCTCTATGAAAGGGACTGTTCAACACTGTGACTTCAATTGAAACATCCCAATGAAGCTTCTGAGAATGCTTCTGTCTAGAGTTTATATGAAGACAATCCCGTTTCCAACGAAATCCTCAAAGCTATCCAAATGTCCTCTTGCAGATTTTACGAAAAGTGTGTTTCAAAACTGCTCTATCAAAAGAAAGCTTCAACACTGTTAGTTGAGGGTGCACATCACAAATAAGATTCTGAGAATGCTTCTGTCTAGTTTTCAGGGGAAGATATTTCCTTTTTCACCATAGGCCTGAAAGCGCTCCAAATGTCCACATCCAGATACTTCAAAAAGAGTGTTTCAAACCTGCTCTATGAAAGGGAATGTTCAACTCTCTGACTTGAATGCAAACATCACAAAGAAGTTACTGGGAATGCTGCTGTCTGCTTTTTATATGTAATCCCGTTTCCAACGAAATCCTCAAAGCTAGACAAATATCCACTTGCAGATTCCACAAAAAGAGTGTTTCAAAACTGCTCTCTCAAAGGAAAGGTTCAACTCTGTTAGCTGAGTAGATACATCATGAAAAAGTTTCTGACATTGCTTCTATGTAGCTTTTATTGGAAGATATTTCCTTTTTCACCGTAGTCCTGAGAGCTCTCCAAATGTCCACTTCCAGATACTACAAAAAGAGTGTTTCAAACCTGTTCTATGAAAGGAACTGTTCAACACTGTGACTTCAATTGAAACATCCCAATGAAGCTTCTGAGAATGCTTCTGTCTAGAGTTTATATGAAGACAATCCCGTATCCAACGAAATCCTCAAAGCTATCCAAATATCCTCTTGCAGATATTACAAAAAGAGTGTTTCAAAACTGCTCTATCAAAAGAAAGGTTCAACACTGTTAGTTGAGGGAGCACATCACAAATAAGTTTCTGAGAATGCTTCTGTCTAGTTTTCAGGGGAAGATATTTCCTTTTTCACCATAGGCCTGAAAGCGCTCCAAATGTCCACATACAGATACTACAAAAAGAGTGTTTCAAACCTGCTCTATGAAAGGGAATGTTCAACTCTGTGACTTGAATGCAAACATCACAAAGAAGTTTCTGGGAATGCTGCTGTCTGCTTTTTATATGTAATCCCGTTTCCAACGAAATCCTCAATGCTAGACAAATATCCACTTGCAGATTCCACAAAAAGAGTGTTTCAAAACTGCTCTCTCAAAAGAAAGGTTCAACTCTGTTAGCTGAGTAGATACATCATGAAAAAGTTTCTGACATTGCTTCTATCTAGCTTTTATTGGAAGATATTTCCTTTTTCACCGCAGTCCTGAGAGCGTTCCAAATGTCCACTTCCAGATACTACAAAAAGAGTGTTTCAAACCTGCTCTATGAAAGGGACTGTTCAACACTGTGACTTCAATTGAAACATCCCAATGAAGCTTCTGAGAATGCTTCTGTCTAGAGTTTATATGAAGACAATCCCGTTTCCAACGAAATCCTCAAAGCTATCCAAATATCCTCTTGCAGATTTTACAAAAAGAGTGTTTCAAAACTGCTCTATCAAAAGAAAGCTTCAACACTGTTAGTTGAGGGCGCACATCACAAATAAGATTCTGAGAATGCTTCTGTCTAGTTTTCAGGGGAAGATATTTCCGTTTTCACCATAGGCCTGAAAGCGCTCCAAATGTCCACATCCAGATACTACAAAAAGAGTGTTTCAAACCTGCTCTATGAAAGGGAATGTTCAACTCTGTGACTTGAATGCAAATATCACAAAGAAGTTTTCTGGGAATGCGCTGTCTGCTTTTTATATGTAATCCCGTTTCCAACGAAATCCTCAAAGCTAGACAAATATCCACTTGCAGATTCCACAAAAAGAGTGTTTCAAAACTGCTCTCTCAAAGGAAAGGTTCACCTCTGTTAGCTGAGTAGATACATCATGAAAAAGTTTCTGACATTGCTTCTATGTAGCTTTTATTGGAAGATATTTCCTTTTTCACCATAGTCCTGAGAGCCCTCCAAATGTCCACTTCCAGATACTACAAAAAGAGTGTTTCAAACCTGTTCTATGAAAGGAACTGTTCAACACTGTGACTTCAATTGAAACATCCCAATGAAGCTTCTGAGAATGCTTCTGTCTAGACTTTATATGAAGACAATCCCGTTTCCAACGAAATCCTCAAAGCTATCCAAATATCCTCTTGCAGATATTATAAAAAGAGTGTTTCAAAACTGCTCTACCAAAAGAAAGCTTCAACACTGTTAGTTGAGGGCGCACATCACAAATAAGTTTCTGAGAATGCTTCTGTCTAGTTTTCAGGGGAAGATATTTCCTTTTTCACCATAGGCCCGAAAGCGCTCCAAATGTCCACATCCAGATACTACAAAAAGAGTGTTTCAAACCTGCTCTATGAAAGGGAATGTTCAACTCTGTGACTTGAATGCAAACATCACAAAGAAGTTTCTGGGAATGCTGCTGTCTGCTTTTTATATGTAATCCCGTTTCCAACGAAATCCTCAAAGCTAGACAAATATCCACTTGCAGATTCCACAAAAAGAGTGTTTCAAAACTGCTCTCTCAAAGGAAGGTTCAACTCTGTTAGCTGAGTAGATACATCATGAAAAAGTTTCTGACATTGCTTCTATCTAGCTTTTATTGGAAGATATTTCCTTTTTCACCACAGTCCTGAGAGCGCTCCAAATGTCCACTTCCAGATACTACACAAAGAGTGTTTCAAACCTGCTCTATGAAAGGGACTGTTCAACACTGTGACTTCAATTGAAACATCCCAATGAAGCTTCTGAGAATGCTTCTGTCTAGAGTTTATATGAAGACAATCCCGTTTCCAACGAAATCCTCAAAGCTATCCAAATATCCTCTTGCAGATTTTACAAAAAGAGTGTTTCAAAACTGCTCTATCAAAAGAAAGCTTCAACACTGTTAGTTGAGGGCGCACATCACAAATAAGTTTCTGAGAATGCTTCTGTCTAGTTTTCAGGGGAAGATATTTCCTTTTTCACCATAGGCCTGAAAGCGCTCCAAATGTCCACATACAGATACTACAAAAAGAGTGTTTGAAACCTGCTCTATGAAAGGGAATGTTCAACTCTGTGACTTGAATGCAAACATCACAAAGAAGTTTCTGGGAATGCTGCTGTCTGCTTTTTATATGTAATCCCGTTTCCAACGAAATCCTCAAAGCTAGACAAATATCCACTTGCAGATTCCACAAAAAGAGTGTTTCAAAACTGCTCTATCAAGAGAATGCTTCAACACTGTTAGTTGAGTAGATACATCATGAAAAAGTTTCTGACATTGCTTCTATCTAGCTTTTATTGGAAGATATTTCCTTTTTCACCGTAGTCCTGAGAGCGCTCCAAATGTCCACTTCCAGATACTACAAAAAGAGTGTTTCAAACCTGCTCTATGAAAGCGACTGTTCAACACTGTGACTTCAATTGAAACATCCCAATGAAGCTTCTGAGAATGCTTCTGTCTAGAGTTTATATGAAGACAATCCCGTTTCCAACGAAATCCTCAAAGCTATCCAAATATCCTCTTGCAGATTTTACAAAAAGAGTGTTTCAAAACTGCTCTATCAAAAGAAAGCTTCAACACTGTTAGTTGAGGGCGCACATCACAAATAAGATTCTGAGAATGCTTCTGTCTAGTTTTCAGGGGAAGATATTTCCTTTTTCACCGTAGGCCTGAAAGCGCTCCAAATGTCCACATCCAGATACTACAAAAAGAGTGTTTCAAACCTGCTCTATGAAAGGGAATGTTCAACTCTGTGACTTGAATGCAAACATCACAAAGAAGTTACTGGGAATGCTGCTGTCTGCTTTTTATATGTAATCCCGTTTCCAACGAAATCCTCAAAGCTAGACAAATATCCACTTGCAGATTCCACAAAAAGAGTGTTTCAAAACTGCTCTCTCAAAGGAAAGGTTCAACTCTGTTAGCTGAGTAGATACATCATGAAAAAGTTTCTGACATTGCTTCTATCTAGCTTTTATTGGAAGATATTTCCTTTATCACCGTATTCCTGAGATCTCTCCAAATGTCCACTTCCAGATACTACAAAAAGAGTGTTTCAAACCTGCTCTATGAAAGGGACTGTTCAACACTGTGACTTCAATTGAAACATCCCAATGAAGCTTCTGAGAATGCTTCTGTCTAGAGTTTATATGAAGACAATCCCGTTTCCAACGAAATCCTCAAAGCTATCCAAATATCCTCTTGCAGATTTTACAAAAAGAGTGTTTCAAAACTGCTCTATCAAAAGAAAGCTTCAACTCTGTTAGTTGAGGGCGCACATCACAAATAAGATTCTGAGAATGCTTCTGTCTAGTTTTCAGGAGAAGATATTTCCTTTTTCACCATAGGCCTGAAAGCGCTCCAAATGTCCACATCCAGATACTATAAAAAGAGTGATTCAAACCTGCTCTCTGAAAGGGAATGTTCAACTCTGTGACTTGAATGCAAACATCACAAACAAGATTCTGGGAATGCTGCTATCTGCTTTTTATAATTAATCCCGTTTCCAACGAAATCCTCAAAGCTATCTAAATATCCTCTTGCAGATATTACAAAAAGAGTGTTTCAAAACTGCTCTATCAAAAGAAAGCTTCCACACTGTTAGTTGAGGGCGCACATCACAAATAAGTTTCTGAGAATGCTTCTGTCTAGTTTTCAGGGGAAGATATTTCCTTTTTCACCATAGGCCTGAAAGCGCTCCAAATGTCCACATCCAGATACTACAAAAAGAGTGTTTCAAACCTGCTCTATGAAAAGGAATGTTCAACTCTGTGACGTGAATGCAAACATCACAAAGAAGTTTCTGGGAATGCTTCTGTCTAGATTTTATATGAAGACAATCCCGTTTCCAACGAAATCCTCAAAGCTAGACCAATATCCACTTGCAGATTCCACAAAAAGAGTGTTTCAAAACTGCTCTCTAAAAAAAAAGGTTCAACTCTGTTATCTGAGTAGATACATCATGAAAAAGTTTCTGATATTGCTTCTATCTAGCTTTTATTGGAAGATATTTCCTTCTTCACCATAGTCCTGAGAGCGCTCCAAATGTCCACTTCCAGATGCTACAAAAAGAGTGTTTCAAACCTGCTCTATGAAAGGGACTGTTCAACACTGTGACTTCAATTGAAACATCCCAATGAAGCTTCTGAGAATGCTACTGTCTAGAGTTTATATGAAGACAATCCCGTTTCCAACGAAATCCTCAAAGCTATCCAAATATCCTCTTGCAGATTTTACAAAAAGAGTGTTTCAAAACTGCTCTATCAAAAGAAAGCTTCAACACTGTCAGTTGAGGGTGCACATCACAAATAAGTTTCTGAGAATGCTTCTGTCTAGTTTTCAGGGGAAGATATTTCCTTTTTCAGCATAGGCCTGAAAGCGCTCCAAATGTCCACATCCAGATACTACAAAAAGAGTGTTTCAAACCTGCTCTATGAAAGGGAATGTTCAACTCTGTGACTTGAATGCAAACATCACAAAGAAGTTTCTGGGAATGCTGCTGTCTGCTTTTCTTATGTAATCCCGTTTCCAACGAAGTCCTCAAAGCTAGACAAATATCCACTTGCAGATTCCACAAAAAGAGTGTTTGAAAACTGCTGCCTCAAAAGAAAGGTTCAACTCTGTTAGCTGAGTAGATACATCATGAAAAAGTTTCTGACATTGCTTCTATCTAGCTTTTATTGGAAGATATTACCTTTTTCACCGTAGTCCTGAGAGTGCTCCAAATGTCCACTTCCAGATACTACAAAAAGAGTGTTTCAAACCTGCTCTATGAAAGGGACTGTTCAACACTGTGACTTCAATTGAAACATCCCAATGAAGCTTCTGAGAATGCTTCTTTCTAGAGTTTATATGAAGACAATCCCGTTTCCAACGAAATCCTCAAAGCTATCCAAATATTCTCTTGCAGATATTACAAAAAGAGTGTTTCAAAACTGCTCTATCAAAATAAAGCTTCAACACTGTTAGTTGAGGGCGCACATCACAAATAAGTTTCTGAGAATGCTGCTGTCTGCTTTTTATATGTAATCCCGTTTCCAACGAAATCCTCAAAGCTAGACAAATATCCACTTGCAGATTCCACAAAAAGAGTGTTTCTAAACTGCTCTATCAAAGGAAAGCTTCAACACTGTTAGTTGAGGGGGCACATCACAAATAAGTTTCTGAGAATGCTTCTGTCTAGTTTTCAGGGGAAGATATTTCCTTTTTCACCATAGGCCTGAAAGCGCTCTAAATGTCCACATCCAGATACTACAAAAAGAGTGTTTCAAACCTGCTCTATGAAAGGGACTGTTCAACACTGTGACTTCAATTGAAACATCCCAATGAAGCTTCTGAGAATGCTTCTGTCTAGAGTTTATATGAAGACAATCCCGTTTCCAAAGAAATCCTCAAAGCTATCCAAATATCCTCTTGCAGATTTTACAAAAAGAGTGTTTCAAAACTGCTCTATCAAAAGAAAGCTTCAACACTGTTAGTTGAGGGCGCACATAACAAATAACATTCTGAGAATGCTTCTGTCTAGTTTTCAGGGGAAGATATTTCCTTTTTCACCATAGGCCTGAAAGCGCTGCAAATGTCCACATCCAGATACTACAAAAAGAGTGTTTCAAACCTGCTCTATGAAAGGGAATGTTCAACTCTGTGACTTGAATGCAAACATCACAAAGAAATTTCTGGGAATGCTGCTGTCTGCTTTTTATATGTAATCCCGTTTCCAACGAAATCCTCAAAGCTAGACAAATATCCACTTGCAGATTCCACAAAAAGAGTGTTTCAAAACTGCTCTCTCAAAGGAAAGGTTCAACTCTGTTAGCTGAGTAGATACATCATGAAAAAGTTTCTGACATTGCTTTCTATGTAGCTTTTATTGGAAGATATTTCCTTTTTCACCATAGTCCTGAGAGCGCTCCAAATGTCCACTTCCAGATACTACAAAAAGAGTGTTTCAAACCTGTTCTATGAAAGGAACTGTTCAACACTGTGACTTCAATTGAAACATCCCAATGAAGCTTCTGAGAATGCTTCTGTCTAGAGTTTATATGAAGACAATCCCGTTTCCAACGAAATCCTCAAAGCTATCCAAATATCCTCTTGCAGATATTACAAAAAGAGTGTTTCAAAACTGCTCTATCAAAAGAAAGCTTCAACACTGTTAGTTGAGGGCGCACATCACAAATAAGTTTCTGAGAATGCGTCTGTCTAGTTTTCAGGGGAAGATATTTCCTTTTTCACCTTAGGCCTGAAAGCGCTGCAAATGTCCACAACCAGATACTACAAAAAGAGTGTTTCAAACCTGCTCTATGAAAGGGAATGTTCAACTCTGTGGCTTGAATGCAAACATCACAAAGAAGTTTCTGGGAACGCTGCTTTCTGCTTTTTATATGTAATCCCGTTTCCAACGAAATCCTCAAATCTAGACAAATATCCACTTGCAGATTCCACAAAAAGAGTGTTTCAAAACTGCTCTCTCAAAAGAAAGGTTCAACTCTGTTAGCTGAGTAGATACATCATGAAAAAGTTTCTGACATTGCTTCTATCTAGCTTTTATTGGAAGATATTTCCTTTATCACCGTATTCCTGAGATCTCTCCAAATGTCCACTTCCAGATACTACAAAAAGAGTGTTTCAAACCTGCTCTATGAAAGGGACTGTTCAACACTGTGACTTCAATTGAAACATCCCAGTGAAGCTTCTGAGAATGCTTCTGTCTACAGTTTATATGAAGACAATCCCGTTTCCAACGAAATCCTCAAAGCTATCAAAATATCCTCTTGCAGATTTTACGAAAAGAGTGTTTCAAAACTGCTCTATCAAAAGAAAGCTTCAACACTGTTAGTTGAGGGCGCACATCACAAATAAGATTCTGAGAATGCTTCTGTCTAGTTTTCAGGAGAAGATATTTCCTTTTTCAACATAGGCCTGAAAGCGCTCAAAATGTCCACATCCAGATACTATAAAAAGAGTGTTTCAAACCTGCTCTCTGAAAGGGAATGTTCAACTCTGTGACTTGAATGCAAACATCACAAACAAGATTCTCGGAATGCTGCTGTCTGCTTTTTATATGTAATCCCGTTTCCAACGAAATCCTCAAAGCTAGACAAATATCCACCTGCAGATTCCACAAAAAGAGTGTTTCAAAACTGCTATATCAAAAGAAAGCTTCAACACTGTTAGTTGAGGGCGCACATCACAAATAAGTTTCTGAGAATGCTTCGGTCTAGTTTTCAGGGGAAGATATTTCCTTTTTCACCATAGGCCTGAAAGCGCTCCAAATGTCCACATCCAGATACTACAAAAAGAGTGTTTCAAACCTGCCCTATGAAAGGGAATGTTCAACTCTGTGACTTGAATGCAAACATCACAAAGAAGATTCTGGGAATGCTTCTGTCTAGAGTTTATATGAAGACAATCCAGTTTCCAAAGAAATCCTCAAAGCTATCCAAATATCCTCTTGCAGATTTTACAAAAAGAGTGTTTCAAAACTGCTCTATCAAAAGAAAGCTTCAACACTGTTAGTGGAGGGCGCACATCACAAATAAGTTTCTGAGAATGCTTCTGTCTAGTTTTCAGGAGAAGATATTTCCTTTTTCACCGTATTCCTGAGATCTCTCCAAATGTCCACTTCCAGATACTACAAAAAGAGTGTTTCAAACCTGCTCTATGAAAGGGACTGTTCAACACTGTGACTTCAATTGAAACATCCCAATGAAGCTTCTGAGAATGCTACTGTCTAGAGTTTATATGAAGACAATCCCGTTTCCAACGAAATCCTCAAAGCTATCCAAATATCCTCTTGCAGATTTTACAAAAAGAGTGTTTCAAAACTACTCTATCAAAAGAAAGGTTTAACACTGTTAGTTGAGGGCGCACATCACAAATAAGTTTCTGAGAATGCTTCTATCTAGTTTTCAGGGGAAGATATTTCCTTTTTCACCATAGGCCTGAGAGCGCTCCAAATGTCCACATCCAGATACTACAAAAAGAGTGTTTCAAACCTGCTCTATGAAAGGGAATGTTCAACTCTGTGACTTGAATGCAACCATCACAAAGAAGTTTCTAGGAATGCTGCTGTCTGCTTTTTATATGTAATCCCCTTTCCAAAGAAGTCCTCAAAGCTAGACAAATATCCACTTGCAGATTCCACAAAAAGAGTGTTTCAAAACTGCTCTCTCAAAAGAAAGGTTCAACTCTTTTAGCTGAGTAGATACATCATGAAAAAGTTTCTCACATTGCTTCTATGTAGCTTTTATTGGAAGATATTTCCTTTTTCACCGCAGTCCTGAGAGCGCTCCAAATGTCCACTTCCAGATACTACAAAAAGAGTGTTTCAAACCTGCTCTATGAAAGGGTCTGTTCAACACTGTGACTTCAATTGAAACATCCCAATGAAGCTTCTGAGAATGCTGCTGTCTGCTTTGTATAATTAATCCCGTTTCCAACGAAATCCTCAAAGCTATCCAAATATCCTCTTGCAGATATTACAAAAAGAGTGTTTCAAAACTGCTCTATCAAAAGAAAGCTTCAACACTGTTAGTTGAGGGCGCACATCACAAATAAGTTTCTGAGAATGCTGCTGTCTGCTTTTTATATGTAATCCCGTTTCCAACGAAATCCTCAAAGCTAGACAAATATCCACTTGCAGATTCCACAAAAAGAGTGTTTCAAAACTGCTCTATCAAAAGAATGCTTCAACACTGTTAGTTGAGGGCGCACATCACAAATAAGTTTCTGAGAATGCTTCTGTCTAGTTTTCAGGGGAAGATATTTCCTTTTAAACCATAGGCCTGAAAGCGCTCCAAATGTCCACATCCAGATACTACAAAAAGAGTGTTTCAAACCTGCTCTATGAAAGGGACTGTTCAACACTGTGACTTCAATTGAAACATCCCAATGACGCTTCTGAGAATGCTTCTGTCTAGAGTTTATATGAAGACAATCCCGTTTCCAACGAAATCCTCAAAGCTATCCAAATATCCTCTTGCAGATTTTACAAAAAGAGTGTTTCAAAACTGCTCTATCAAAAGAAAGCTTCAACACTGTTAGTTGAGGGCGCACATCACAAATAAGATTCTGAGAATGCTTCTGTCTAGTTTTCAGGGGAAGATATTTCCTTTTTCACCATAGGCCTGAAAGCGCTCCAAATGTCCACATCCAGATACTACAAAAAGAGTGTTTCAAACCTGCTCTATGAAAGGGAATGTTCAACTCTGTGACTTGAATGCAAACATCACAAAGAAGTTTGTGGGAATGCTGCTGTCAGCTTTTTATATGTAATCCCGTTTCCAACGAAATCCTCAAAGCTAGACAAATATCCACTTGCAGATTCCACAAAAAGAGTGTTTCAAAACTGCTCTCTCAAAAGAAAGGTTCAACTCTGTTAGCTGAGTAGATACATCATGAAAAAGTTTCTGACATTGCTTCTATGTAGCTTTTATTGGAAGATATTTCCTTTTTCACCGTAGTCCTGAGAGCGCTCCAAATGTCCACTTCCACATACTACAAAAAGAGTGTTTCAAACCTGCTCTATGAAAGGGACTGTTCAACACTGTGACTTCAATTGAAACATCCCAATGAAGCTTCTGAGAATACTTCTGTCTAGAGTTTATATGAAGACAATCCCGTTTCCAATGAAATCCTCAAAGCTATACAAATATCCTCTAGCAGATTTTACAAAAAGAGTGTTTCAAAACTGCTCTATCAAAAGAAAGCTTCAACACTGTTAGTTGAGGGCGCACATCACAAATAAGATTCTGAGAATGCTTCTGTCTAGTTTTCAGGAGAAGATATTTCCTTTTTCACCATAGGCCTGAAAGCGCTCCAAATGTCCACATCCAGATACTATAAAAACAGTGTTTCAAACCTGCTCTCTGAAAGGGAATGTTCAACTCTGTGACTTGAATGCAAACATCACAAACAAGATTCTGGGAATGCTGCTGTCTGCTTTTTATATGTAATCCCGTTTCCAACGAAATCCTCAAAGCTAGACAAATATCCACTTGCAGATTCCACAAAAAGAGTGTTTCAAAACTGCTCTATCAAAAGAAAGCTTCAACACTGTTAGTTGAGGGCGCACATCACAAATAAGTTTCTGAGAATGCTTCTGTCTAGTTTTCAGGGGAAGATATTTCCTTTTTCACCATAGGCCTGAAAGCGCTCCAAATGTCCACATCCAGATACTACAAAAAGAGTGTTTCAAACCTGCTCTATGAAAGGGACTGTTCAACACTGTGACTTCAATTGAAACATCCCAATGAAGCATCTGAGAATGCTTCTGTCTAGAGTTTATATGAAGACAATCCCGTTTCCAACGAAATCCTCAAAGCTATCCAAATATCCTGTTGCAGATATTACAAAAAGAGTGTTTCAAAACTGCTCTATCAAAAGAAAGCTTCAACACTGTTAGTTGAGGGCGCACATCACAAATAAGTTTCCTGAGAATGCTTCTGTCCAGTTTTCAGGGGAAGATATTTCCTTTTTCACCATAGGCCTGAAAGCGCTCCAAATGTCCACAACCAGATACTTCAAAAAGAGTGTTTCAAACCTGCTCTATGAAAGGGAATGTTCAACTCTCTGACTTGAATGCAAACATCACAAAGAAGTTACTGGGAATGCTGCTGTCTGCTTTTTATATGTAATCCCGTTTCCAACGAAATCCTCAAAGCTAGACAAATATCCACTTGCAGATTCCACAAAAAGAGTGTTTCAAAACTGCTCTATCAAAAGAATGCTTCAACACTGTTAGTTGAGGGCGCACATCACAAATAAGTTTCTGAGAATGCTTCTGTCTAGTTTTCAGGGGAAGATATTTCCTTTTAAACCATAGGCCTGAAAGCGCTCCAAATGTCCACATCCAGATACTACAAAAAGAGTGTTTCAAACCTGCTCTATGAAAGGGACTGTTCAACACTGTGACTTCAATTGAAACATCCCAATGAAGCTTACTGAGAATGCTTCTGTCTAGAGTTTATATGAAGACAATCCCGTTTCCAACGAAATCCTCAAAGCTATCCAAATATCCTCTTGCAGATTTTACAAAAAGAGTGTTTCAAAACTGCTCTATCAAAAGAAAGCTTCAACACTGTTAGTTGAGGGCGCACATCACAAATAGGATTCTGAGAATGCTTCTGTCTAGTTTTCAGGAGAAGATATTTCCTTTTTCACCATAGGCCTGAAAGCGCTCCAAATGTCCACATCCAGATACTATAAAAAGAGTGTTTCAAACCTGCTCTATGAAAGGGAATGTTCAACTCTGTGACTTGAATGCAAACATCACAAAGAAGATTCTGGGAATGCTGCTGTCTGCTTTTTATATGTAATCCCGTTTCCAACGAAATCCTCAAAGCTAGACAAATATCCACTTGCAGATTCCACAAAAAGAGTGTTTCAAAACTGCTCTATCAAAAGAAAGCTTCAACACTGTTAGTTGAGGGCGCACATCACAAATAAGTTTCTGAGAATGCTTCTGTCTAGTTTTCAGGGGAAGATATTTCCTTTTTCACCATAGGCCTGAAAGCGCTCCAAATGTCCACATCCAGATACTACAAAAAGAGTGTTTCAATCCTGCTCTATGAAAGGGAATGTTCAACTCTGTGACTTGAATGCAAACATCACAAAGAAGTTTCTGGGAATGCTGCTGTCTGCTTTTTATATGTAATCCCGTTTCCAACGAAATCCTCAAAGCTAGACAAATATCCACTTGCAGATTCCACAAAAAGAGTGTTTCAAAACTGCTCTCTCAAAAGAAAGGTTCAACTCTGTTAGCTGAGTGGATACATCATGAAAAAGTTTCTGACATTGCTTCTATCTAGCTTTTATTGGAAGATACTTCCTTTTTCACCGTAGTCCTGAGAGCGCTCCAAATGTCCACTTCCAGATACTACAAAAAGAGTGTTTCAAACCTGCTCTATGAAAGGGACTGTTCAACACTGTGACTTCAATTGAAACATCCCAATGAAGCTTCTGAGAATGCTTCTGTCTAGAGTTTATATGAAGACAATCCCGTTTCCAACGAAATCCTCAAAGCTATCCAAATATCCTCTTGCAGATTTTACAAAAAGAGTGTTTCAAAACTGCTCTATCAAAAGAAAGCTTCAACACTGTTAGTTGAGGGCGCACATCACAAATAAGATTCTGAGAATGCTTCTGTCTAGTTTTCAGGAGAATATATTTCCTTTTTCACCTTAGGCCTGAAAGCGCTCCAAATGTCCACATCCAGATACTATAAAAAGAGTGTTTCAAACCTGCTCTATGAAAGGGAATTTTCAACTCTGTGACTTGAATGCAAACATCACAAAGAAGATTCTGGGAATGCTGCTGTCTGCTTTTTATATGTAATCCCGTTTCCAACGAAATCCTCAAAGCTAGACAAATATCCACGTGCAGATTCCACAAAAAGAGTGTTTCAAAACTGCTCTATCAAGAGAAAGCTTCAACACTGTTAGTTGAGGGCGCACATCACAAATAAGTTTCTGAGAATGCTTCTGTCTAGTTTTCAGGGGAAGATATTTCCTTTTTCACCATAGGCCTGAAAGCGCTCCAAATGTCCACATCCAGATACTACAAAAAGAGTGTTTCAAACCTGCTCTATGAAAGGGACTGTTCAACACTGTGACTTCAATTGAAACATCCCAATGAAGCTTCTGAGAATGCTTCTGTCTAGAGTTTATATGAAGACAATCCCGTTTCCAACGAAATCCTCAAAGCTATCCAAATATCCTCTTGCAGATTTTACAAAAGGAGTGTTTCAAAACTGCTCTCTCAAAAGAAAGGTTCAACTCTGTAAGCTGAGTAGATACATCATGAAAAAGTTTCTGACATTGCTTCTATGTAGCTTTTATTGGAAGATATTTCCTTTTTCACCATAGGCCTGAAAGCGCTCCAAATGTCCACATCCAGATACTACAAAAAGAGTGTTTCAAACCTGCTCTATGAAAGGGAATATTCAACTCTGTGACTTGAATGCAAACATCACAAAGAAGTTACTGGGAATGCTGCTGTCTGCTTTTTATATGTAATCCCGTTTCCAACGAAATCCTCAAAGCTAGACAAATATCCACTTGCAGATTCCACCAAAAGAGTGTTTCAAAACTGCTCTCTCAAAAGAAAGGTTCAACTCTGTTAGCTGAGTAGATACATCATGAAAATGTTTCTGACATTGCTTCTATCTAGCTTTTATTGGAAGATATTTCCTTTTTCACCGTAGTCCTGAGAGCGCTCCAAATGTCCACTTCCAGATACTACAAAAAGAGTGTTTCAAACCTGCTCTATGAAAGGGACTGTTCAACACTGTGACTTCAATTGAAACATCCCAATGAAGCTTCTGAGAATGCTTCTTTCTAGAGTTTATATGAAGACAATCCCGTTTCCAACGAAATCCTCAAAGCTATCCAAATATTCTCTTGCAGATATTACAAAAAGAGTGTTTCAAAACTGCTCTATCAAAATAAAGCTTCAACACTGTTAGTTGAGGGCGCACATCACAAATAAGTTTCTGAGAATGCTGCTGTCTGCTTTTTATATGTAATCCCGTTTCCAAAGAAATCCTCAAAGCTAGACAAATATCCACTTGCAGATTCCACAAAAAGAGTGTTTCAAAACTGCTCTATCAAAAGAAAGCTTCAACACTGTTAGTTGAGGGCGCACATCACAAATAAGTTTCTGAGAATGCTTCTGTCTAGTTTTCAGGGGAAGATATTTCCTTTTTCACCATAGGCCTGAAAGCGCTCCAAATGTCCACATCCAGATACTACAAAAAGAGTGTTTCAAACCTGCTCTATGAAAGGGACTGTTCAACACTGTGACTTCAATTGAAACATCCCAATGAAGCATCTGAGAATGCTTCTGTCTAGAGTTTATATGAAGACAATCCCGTTTCCACAGAAATCCTCAAAGCTATCCAAATATCCTCTAGCAGATTTTACAAAAAGAGTGTTTCAAAACTGCTCTATCAAAAGAAAGCTTCAACACTGTTAGTTGAGGGCGCACATCACAAATAAAATTCTGAGAATGCTTCTATCTAGTTTGCAGGGGAAGATATTTCCTTTTTCACCATAGGCCTGAAAGCGCTCCAAATGTCCACATCCAGATACTACAAAAAGAGTGTTTCAAACCTGCTCTGTGAAAGGGAATGTTCAAGTCTGTGACTTGAATGCAAATATCACAAAGAAGTTTCTGGGAATGCTGCTGTCTGCTTTTTATATGTAATCCCGTTTCCAACGAAATCCTCAAAGCTAGACAAATATCCACTTGCAGATTCCAGAAAAAGAGTGTTTCAAAACTGCTCTCTCAAAGGAAAGGTTCAACTCTGTTAGCTGAGTAGATACATCATGAAAAAGTTTCTGACATTGCTTCTATGTAGCTTTTATTGGAAGATATTTCCTTTTTCACCATAGTCCTGAGAGCGCTCCAAATGTCCACTTCCAGATACTACAAAAAGAGTGTTTCAAACCTGTTCTATGAAAGGAAATGTTCAACACTGTGACTTCAATTGAAACATCCCAATGAAGCTTCTGAGAATGCTTCTGTCTAGAGTTTATATGAAGACAATCCCGTTTCCAACGAAATCCTCAAAGCTATCCAAATATCCTCTTGCAGATATTACAAAAAGAGTGTTTCAAAACTGCTCTATCAAAAGAAAGGTTCAACACTGTTAGTTGAGGGCGCACATCACAAATAAGTTTCTGAGAATGCTTCTGTCTAGTTTTCAGGGGAAGATATTTCCTTTTTCACCATAGGCCTGAAAGCGCTCCAAATGTCCACATCCAGATACTACAAAAAGAGTGTTTCAAACCTGCTCTCTGAAAGGGAATGTTCAACTCTGTGACTTGAATGCAAACATCACAAAGAAGTTTCTGGGAATGCTGCTGTCTGCTTTTTATATGTAATCCCGTTTCCAACGAAATCCTCAAAGCTAGACAAATATCCACTTGCAGATTCCACAAAAAGAGTGTTTCAAAACTGCTCTATCAAAAGAATGCTTCAACACTGTTAGTTGAGGGCGCACATCACAAATAAGTTTCTGAGAATGCTTCTGTCTAGTTTTCAGGGGAAGATATTTCCTTTTTCACCATAGGCCTGAAAGCGCTCCAAATGTCCACATCCAGATACTACAAAAAGAGTGTTTCAAACCTGCTCTATGAAAGGGACTGTTCAACACTGTGACTTCAATTGAAACATCCCAATGAAGCTTCTGAGAATGCTTCTGTCTAGAGTTTATATGAAGACAATCCCGTTTCCAACGAAATCCTCAAAGCTATCCAAATATCCTCTTGCAGATTTTACGAAAAGAGTGTTTCAAAACTGCTCTATCAAAAGAAAGCTTCAACACTGTTAGTTGAGGGCGCACATCACAAATAAGATTCTGCGAATGCTTCTGTCTAGTTTTCAGGGGAAGATATTTCCTTTTTCACCTTAGGCCTGAAAGCGCTGCAAATGTCCACATCCAGATACTACAAAAAGAGTGTTTCAAACCTGCTCTATGAAAGGGAATGTTAAACTCTGTGACTTGAATGCAAACAACACAAAGAAGTTTCTGGGAATGCTGCTGTCTGCTTTTTATATGTAATCCCGTTTCCAACGAAATCCTCAAAGGTAGACAAATATCCACTTGCAGATTCCACAAAACGAGTGTTTCAAAACTGCTCTCTCAAAGGAAAGGTTCAACTCTGTTAGCTGAGTAGATACATCATGAAAAAGTTTCTGACATTGCTTCTATCTAGCTTTTATTGGAAGATATTTCCTTTTTCACCGCAGTCCTGAGAGCGTTCCAAATGTCCACTTCCAGATACTACAAAAAGAGTGTTTCAAACCTGCTCTATGAAAGGGACTGTTCAACACTGTGACTTCAATTGAAACATCCCAATGAAGCTTCTGAGAATGCTTCTGTCTAGAGTTTATATGAAGACAATCCCGTTTCCAACGAAATCCTCAAAGCTATCCAAATATCCTCTTGCAGATTTTACAAAAAGAGTGTTTCAAAACTGCTCTATCAAAAGAAAGCTTCAACTCTGTTAGTTGAGGGCGCACATCACAAATAAGATTCTGAGAATGCTTCTGTCTAGTTTTCAGGGGAAGATATTTCCTCTTTCACCATAGGCCTGAAAGCGCTCCAAATGTCCACATCCAGATACTACAAAAAGAGTGTTTCAAACCTGCTCTATGAAAGGGAATGTACAACTCTGTGACTTGAATGCAAACATCACAAAGAAGTTTCTGGGAATGCTGCTGTCTGCTTTTTATATGTAATCCCGTTTCCAACGAAATCCTCAATGCTAGACAAATATCCACTTGCAGATTCCACAAAAAGAGTGTTTCAAAACTGCTCTCTCAAAAGAAAGGTTCAACTCTGTTAGCTGAGTAGATACATCATGAAAAAGTTTCTGACATTGCTTCTATCTAGCTTTTATTGGAAGATATTTCCTTTTTCACCGTAGTCCTGAGAGCGCTCAAAATGTCCACTTCCAGATACTACAAAAAGAGTGTTTCAAACCTGCTATATGAAAGGGACTGTTCAACACTGCGACTTCAATTGAAACATCCCAATGAAGCTTCTGAGAATGCTACTGTCTAGAGTTTATATGAAGACAATCCCGTTTCCAACGATATCCTCAAAACTATCCAAATATCCTCTTGCAGATTTTACAAAAAGAGTGTTTGAAAACTGCTCTATCAAAAGAAAGCTTCAACACTGTTAGTTGAGGGCGCACATCACAAATAAGTTTCTGAGAATGCTTCTGTCTAGTTTTCAGGGGAAGATATTTCCTTTTTCACCATAGGCCTGAAAGCGCTCCAAATGTCCACATCCAGATACTACAAAAAGAGTGTTTCAAACCTGCTCTATGAAAGGGAATGTTCAACTCTGTGACTTGAATGCAAAAATCACAAAGAAGTTTCTGGGAATGCTGCTGTCTGCTTTTTATATGTAATCCCGTTTCCAACGAAATCCTCAAAGCTAGACAAATATCCACTTGCAGATTCCACAAAAAGAGTGTTTCAAAACTGCTCTCTCAAAGGAAAGGTTCAACTCTGTTAGCTGAGTAGATACATCATGAAAAAGTTTCCTGACATTGCTTCTATCTAGCTTTTATTGGAACATATTTCCTTTTTCACCGTAGTCCTGAGAGCGCTCCAAATGTCCACTTCCAGATACTACAAAAAGAGTGTTTCAAACCTGCTCTATGAAAGGGACTGTTCAACACTGTGACTTCAGTTGAATCATCCCAATGAAGCTTCTGAGAATGCTACTGTCTAGAGATTATATGAAGACAATCCCGTTTCCAACGAAATCCTCAAAGCTATCCAAATATCCTCTTGCAGATTTTACAAAAAGAGTGTTTCAAAACTACTCTATCAAAAGAAAGGTTTAACACTGTTAGTTGACGGCGCACATCACAAATAAGTTTCTGAGAATGCTTCTGTCTAGTTTTCAGGGGAAGATATTTCCTTTTTCACCATAGGCCTGAAAGCGCTCCAAATGTCCACATCCAGATACTACAAAAAGAGTGTTTCAAACCTGCTCTATGAAAGGGCATGTTCAACTCTGTGACTTGAATGCAAACATCACAAAGAAGTTTCTGGGAATGCTTCTGTCTAGTTTTCAGGGGAAGATATTTCCTTTTAAACCATAGGCCTGAAAGCGCTCCAAATGTCCACATCCAGATACTACAAAAAGAGTGTTTCAAACCT
>NC_000002.12:92188145-92270980 GCF_000001405.40 Homo sapiens | reverse complement strand
GAAGCAATGTCAGAAACTTTTTCATGATGTATCCACTCAGCTAACAGAGTTGAACCTTTCTTTCGAGAGAGCAGTTTTGAAACACTCTTTTTGTGGAATCTGCAAGTGGATATTTGTCTAGCTTTGAGGATTTGGTTGGAAATGGGATCACTGCCCCCCCGCCTGGGCGACAGAGCCACAATCCGTCTCAAAATGAAAAACAGAGAGAGGTAACAGACCAGAAAGGCATGGTGGCTCACGCCTGTAATCCCAACACTTTGGAAGGCCGAGATGGGCAGGGGCAGGTCACTTGAGCCGAGGAGTTCAAGACCAGCCTAGTAAACATAGTGAGACCCTGTCTCTACAAAAAAAAAAAAAAAAAAAAAAAAAATTAGCTGGGCCTGTTAGCACATGCCTGTGGCCCCAGCTACTTGGGAGGCTGAGTCTATCTAGCTTTTATTGGAAGATACTTCCTTTTTCACCGTAGTCCTGAGAGCGCTCCAAATGTCCACTTCCAGATACTACAAAAAGAGTGTTTCAAACCTGCTCTATGAAAGGGACTGTTCAACACTGTGACTTCAATTGAAACATCCCAATGAAGCTTCTGAGAATGCTTCTGTCTAGAGTTTATATGAAGACAATCCCGTTTCCAACGAAATCCTCAAAGCTATCCAAATATCCTCTTGCAGATTTTACAAAAAGAGTGTTTCAAAGCTGCTCTATCAAAAGAAAGCTTCAACACTGTTAGTTGAGGGCGCACAACACAAATAAGATGCTGAGAATGCTTCTGTCTAGTTTTCAGGGGAAGATATTTCCTTTTTCACAATAGGCCTGAAAGCACTCCAAATGTCCACATCCAGATACTACAAAAAGAGTGTTTCAAACCTGCTCTATGAAAGGGAATGTTCAACTCTGTGACTTGAATGCAAACATCACAAAGAAGTTACTGGGAATGCTGCTGTCTGCTTTTTATATGTAATCCCGTTTCCAACGAAATCCTCAAAGCTAGACAAATATCCACTTGCAGATTCCACAAAAAGAGTGTTTCAAAACTGCTCTCTCAAAGGAAAGGTTCAACTCTGTTAGCTGAGTAGATACATCATGAAAAAGTTTCTGACATTGCTTCTATCTAGCTTTTATTGGAAGATATTTCCTTTTTCACCGTAGTCCTGAGAGCGCTCCAAATGTCCACTTCCAGATACTACAAAAAGAGTGTTTCAAACCTGCTCTATGAAAGGGACTGTTCAACACTGTGACTTCAATTGAAACATCCCAATGTAGCTTCTGAGAATGCTTCTGTCTAGTTTTCAGGGGAAGATATTTCCTTTTTCACCTTAGGCCTGAAAGCGCTGCAAATGTCCACATCCAGATACTACAAAAAGAGTGTTTCAAACCTGCTCTCTGAAAGGGAATGTTCAACTCTGTGACTTGAATGCAAACATCACAAAGAAGTTTCTGGGAATGCTGCTGTCTGCTTTTTATATGTAATCCCGTTTCCAACGAAATCCTCAAAGCTAGACAAATATCCACTTACAGATTCCACAAAAAGAGTGTTTCAAAACTGCTCTATCAAAAGAATGCTTCAACACTGTTAGTTGAAGGCGCACATCACAAATAAGTTTCTGAGAATGCTTCTGTCTAGTTTTCAGGGGAAGATATTTCCTTTTTCACCATAGGCCTGAAAGCGCTCCAAATGTCCACATCCAGATACTACAAAAAGAGTGTTTCAAACCTGCTCTATGAAAGGGACTGTTCAACACTGTGACTTCAATTGAAACATCCCAATGACGCTTCTGAGAATGCTTCTGTCTAGAGTTTATATGAAGACAATCCCGTTTCCAACGAAATCCTCAAAGCTATCCAAATATCCTCTTGCAGATATTACAAAAAGAGTGTTTCAAAACTGCTCTATCAAAAGAAAGGTTCAACACTGTTAGTTGAGGGAGCACATCACAAATAAGTTTCTGAGAATGCTTCTGTCTAGTTTTCAGGGGAAGATATTTCCTTTTTCACCTTAGGCCTGAAAGCGCTGCAAATGTCCACATACAGATACTACAAAAAGTGTGTTTCAAACCTGCTCTATGAAAGGGAATGTTCAAATCTGTGACTTGAATGCAAACATCACAAAGAAGTTTCTGGGAATGCTGCTGTCTGCTTTTTATATGTAATCCCGTTTCCAACGAAATCATCAAAGCTAGACAAATATCCACTTGCAGATTCCACAAAAAGAGTGTTTCAAAACGGCTCTCTCAAAACAAAAGTTCAACTCTGTTAGCTGAGTAGATACATCATGAAAAAGTTTCTGACATTGCTTTCTATGTAGCTTTTATTGGAAGATATTTCCTTTTTCACCGTAGTCCTGAGAGCGCTCCAAATGTCCACTTCCAGATACTACAAAAAGAGTGTTTCAAACCTGCTCTATGAAAGGCACTGTTCAACACTGTGACTTCAATTGAAACATCCCAATGAAGCTTCTGAGAATGCTTCTGTCTAGAGTTTATATGAAGACAATCCCGTTTCCAATGAAATTCTCAAAGCTATCCAAATATCCTCTTGCAGATTTTACAAAAAGAGTGTTTCAAAACTGCTCTATCAAAAGAAAGCTTCAACACTGTTAGTTGAGGGCGCACATCACAAATAAGATTCTGAGAATGCTTCTGTCTAGTTTTCAGGGGAAGATATTTCCTTTTTCACCATAGGCCTGAAAGCGCTCCAAATGTCCCCATCCAGATACTTCAAAAAGAGTGTTTCAAACCTGCTCTATGAAAGGGAATGTTCAACTCTGTGACTTGAATGCAAACATCACAAAGAAGTTACTGGGAATGCTGCTGTCTGCTTTTTATATGTAATCCCGTTTCCAACGAAATCCTCAAAGCTAGACAAATATCCACTTTCAGATTACACAAAAAGAGTGTTTCAAAACTGCTCTCTCAAAAGAAAGGTTCAACTCTGTTAGCTGAGTAGATACATCATGAAAAAGTTTCTGACATTGCTTCTATGTAGCTTTTATTGGAAGATATTTCCTTTTTCACCGTAGTCCTGAGAGCGCTCCAAATGTCCACTTCCAGATACTACAAAAAGAGTGTTTCAAACCTGCTCTATGAAAGGGACTGTTCAACACTGTGACTTCAATTGAAACATCCCAATGAAGCTTCTGAGAATGCTTCTGTCTAGAGTTTATATGAAGAAAATCCCGTTTCCAACGAAATCCTCAAAGCTATCCAAATATCCTCTTGCAGATGTTACAAAAAGAGTGTTTCAAAACTGCTCTATCAAAAGAAAGGTTCAACACTGTTAGTTGAGGGCGCACATCACAAATAAGTTTCTGAGAATGCTTCTGTCTAGTTTTCAGGGGAAGATATTTCCTTTTTCACCATAGGCTTGAAAGCGCTCCAAATGTCCACATCCAGATACTACAAAAAGAGTGTTTCAAACCTGCTCTATGAAAGGGAATTTTCAACTCTGTGACTTGAATGCAAACATCACAACGAAGTTTCTGGGAATGCTGCTGTCTGCTTTTTATTTGTAATCCCGTTTCCAACGAAATCCTCAAAGCTAGACAAATATCCACTTTCAGATTCCACAAAAAGAGAGTTTCAAAACTGCTCTCTCAAAAGAAAGGTTCAACTCTGTTAGCTGAGTAGATACATCATGAAAAAGTTTCTGACATTTCTTCTGTCTAGTTTTCAGGGGAAGATATTTCCTTTTTCACCATAGGCCTGAAAGCGCTCCAAATGTCCACATCCAGATACTACAAAAAGAGTGTTTCAAACCTGCTCTATGAAAGGGACTGTTCAACACTGTGACTTCAATTGAAACATCCCAATGAAGCTTCTGAGAATGCTTCTGTCTAGAGTTTATATGAAGACAATCCCGTTTCCAACGAAATCCTCAAAGCTATCCAAATATCCTCTTGCAGATTTTACAAAAAGAGTGTTTCAAAACTGCTCTATCAAAAGAAAGCTTCAACTCTGTTAGTTGAGGGCGCACATCACAAATAAGATTCTGAGAATGCTTCTGTCTAGTTTTCAGGGGAAGATATTTCCTTTTTCACCATAGGCCTGAAAGCGCTCCAAATGTCCACATCCAGATACTACAAAAAGAGTGTTTCAAACCTGCTCTCTGAAAGGGAATGTTCAACTCTGTGACTTGAATGCAAACATCACAAAGAAGTTTCTGGGAATGCTACTGTCTGCTTTTTATATGTAATCCCGTTTCCAACGAAATCCTCAAAGCTAGACAAATATCCACTTGCAGATTCCACAAAAAGAGTGTTTCAAAACGGTTCTCTCAAATGAAAGATTCAACTCTGTTAGCTGAGTAGATACATCATGAAAAATTTTCTGACATTGCTTCTATGTAGCTTTTATTGGAAGATATTTCCTTTTTCACCGCAGTCCTGAGAGCGCTCCAAATGTCCACTTCCAGATACTACAAAAAGAGTGTTTCAAACCTGGTCTATGAAAGGGACTGTTCAACACTGTGACTTCAATTGAAACATCCCAATGAAGCTTCTGAGAATGCTTCTGTCTAGAGTTTCTATGAAGACAATCCCGTTTCCAACGAAATCCTCAAAGCTATCCAAATATCCTCTTGCAGATTTTACAAAAAGAGTGTTTCAAAACTGCTCTATCAAAAGAAAGCTTCAACACTGTTATTTGAGGGCACACATCACAAATAAGATTCTGAGAATGCTTCTGTCTAGTTTTCAGGGGAAGATATTTCCTTTTTCACCATAGGCCTGAAAGCGCTCCAAATGTCCACATCCAGATACTACAAAAAGAGTGTTTCAAACCTGCTCTATGAAAGGGAATGTTCAACTCTGTGACTTGAATGCAAACATCACAAAGAAGATTCTGGGAATGCTGCTGTCTGCTTTTTATATGTAATCCCGTTTCCAACGAAATCCTCAAAGCTAGACAAATATCCACTTGCAGATTCCACAAAAAGAGTGTTTCAAAACTGCTCTCTCAAAGTAAAGGTTCAACTCTGTTAGCTGAGTAGATACATCATGAAAAAGTTTCTGACATTGCTTCTATGTAGCTTTTATTGTAAGATATTTCCATTTTCACCGTAGTCCTGAGAGCGCTCCAAATGTCCACTTCCAGATACTACAAAAAGAGTGTTTCAAACCTGTTCTATGAAAGGAACTGTTCAACACTGTGACTTCAATTGAAACATCCCAATGAAGCTTCTGAGAATGCTTCTGTCTAGAGTTTATATGAAGACAATCCCGTTTCCAACGAAATCCTCAAAGCTATCCAAATATCCTCTTGCAGATATTACAAAAAGAGTGTTTCAAAACTGCTCTATCAAAAGAAAGCTTCAACACTGTTAGTTGAGGGCGCACATCACAAATAAGTTTCTGAGAATGCTTCTGTCTAGTTTTCAGGGGAAGATATTTCCTTTTTCACCTTAGGCCTGAAAGCGCTGCAAATGTCCACATCCAGATACTACAAAAAGAGTGTTTCAAACCTGCTCTATGAAACGGAATGTTCCACTCTGTGACTTGAATGCAAACATCACAAAGAAGTTTCTGGGAATGCTGCTGTCTGCTTTTTATATGAAATCCCGTTTCCAACGAAATCCTCAAAGCTAGACAAATATCCACTTGCAGATTCCACAAAAAGAGTGTTTCAAAACTGCTCTCTCAAAGGAAAGGTTCAACTCTGTTAGCTGAGTAGATACATCATGAAAAAGTTTCTGACATTGCTTCTATGTAGCTTTTATTGGAAGATATTTCCTTTTTCACCTTAGTCCTGAGAGCGCTCCAAATGTCCACTTCCAGATACTACAAAAAGAGTGTTTCAAACCTGTTCTATGAAAGGAACTGTTCAACACTGTGACTTCAATTGAAACATCCCAATGAAGCTTCTGAGAATGCTTCTGTCTAGAGTTTATATGAAGACAATCCCGTTTCCAACGAAATCCTCAAAGCTATCCAAATATCCTCTTGCAGATATTACAAAAAGAGTGTTTCAAAACTGCTCTATCAAAAGAAAACTTCAACACTGTTAGTTGAGGGCGCACATCACAAATAAGTTTCTGAGAATGCTTCTGTCTAGTTTTCAGGGGAAGATATTTCCTTTTTCACCATAGGCCTGAAAGCGCTCCAAATGTCCACATACAGATACTACAAAAAGAGTGTTTCAAACCTGCTCTATGAAAGGGAATGTTCAACTCTGTGACTTGAATGCAAACTTCACAAAGAGGTTTCTGGGAATGCTGCTGTCTGCTTTTTATATGTAATCCCGTTTCCAACGAAATCCTCAAAGCTAGACAAATATCCACTTGCAGATTCCACCAAAAGAGTGTTTCAAAACTGCTGTCTCAAAAGAAAGGTTCAACTCTGTTAGCTGAGTAGATACATCATGAACAATTTTCTGACATTGCTTCTATCTAGCTTTTATTGGAAGATATTTCCTTTTTCACCGTAGTCCTGAGATCTCTCCAAATGTCCACTTCCAGATACTACAAAAAGAGTGTTTCAAACCTGCTCTATGAAAGGGACTGTTCAACACTGTGACTTCAATTGAAACATCCCAATGAAGCTTCTGAGAATGCTTCTGTCTAGAGTTTATATGAAGACAATCCCGTTTCCAACGAAATCCTCAAAGCTATCCAAATATCCTCTTGCAGATATTACAAAAAGAGTGTTTCAAAACTGCTCTATCAAAAGAAAGGTTCAACACTGTTAGTTGAGGGCGCACATCACAAATAAGTTTACTGAGAATGCTGCTGTCTGCTTTTTATATGTAATCCCGTTTCCAACGAAATCCTCAAAGCTAGACAAATATCCACTTGCAGATTCCACAAAAAGAGTGTTTCAAAACTGCTCTATCAAAAGAAAGCTTCAACAGTGTTAGTTGAGGGCGCACATCACAAATAAGTTTCTGAGAATGCTTCTGTCTAGTTTTCAGGGGAAGATATTTCCTTTTAAACCATAGGCCTGAAAGCGCTCCAAATGTCCACATCCAGATACTACAAAAAGAGTGTTTCAAACCTGCTCTATGAAAGGGACTGTTCAACACTGCGACTTCAATTGAAACATCCCAATGAAGCTTCTGAGAATGCTTCTGTCTAGAGTTTATATGAAGACAATCCCGTTTCCAACGAAATCCTCAAAGCTATCCAAATATCCTCTTGCAGATTTTACAAAAAGAGTGTTTCAAAACTGCTCTATCAAAAGAAAGGTTCAACACTGTTAGTTGAGGGCGCACATCACAAATAAGTTTCTGAGAATGCTTCTGTCTAGTTTTCAGGGGAAGATATTTCCTTTTTCACCTTAGGCCTGAAAGCGCTGCAAATGTCCACATCCAGATACTACAAAAAGAGTGTTTCAAACCTGCTCTATGAAAGGGAATGTTCAACTCTGTGACTTGAATGCAAACATCACAAAGAAGTTTCTGGGAATGCTGCTGTCTGCTTTTTATATGTAATCCCGTTTCCAACGCGATCCTCAAAACTAGACAAATATCCACTTGCAGATTCCACAAAAATAGTGTTTCAAAACTGCTCTCTCAAAAGAAAGGTTCAACTCTTTTAGCTGAGTAGATACATCATGAAAAAGTTTCTGATATTGCTTCTATCTAGCTTTTATTGGAAGATACTCCCTTTTTCACCGTAGTCCTGAGAGCGCTCCAAATGTCCACTTCCAGATACTACAAAAAGAGTGTTTCAAACTTGCTCTATGAAAGGGACTGTTCAACACTGTGACTTCAATTGAAACATCCCAATGAAGCTTCTGAGAATGCTTCTGTCTAGAGTTTATATGAAGACAATCCCGTTTCCAACGAAATCCTCAAAGCAATCCAAATATCCTCTTGCAGATTTTACAAAAAGAGTGTTTCAAAACTGCTCTATCAAAAGAAAGCTTCAACACTGTTAGTTGAGGGCGCACATCACAAATAAGATTCTGAGAATGCTTCTGTCTAGTTTTCAGTGGAAGATATTTCCTTTTTCACCATAGGCCTGAAAGCGCTCCAAATGTCCACATCCAGATACTACAAAAAGAGTGTTTCAAACCTGCTCTATGAAAGGGAATGTTCAACACTGTGACTTGAATGCAAACATCACAAAGAAGATTCTGGGAATGCTGCTGTCTGCTTTTTATATGTAATCCCGTTTCCAACGAAATCCTCAAAGCTAGACAAATATCCACTTGCAGATTCCACAAAAAGAGTGTTTCAAAACTGCTCTCGCAAAAGAAAGGTTCAACTCTTTTAGCTGAGTAGATACATCATGAAAAAGTTTCTGACATTGCTTCTATGTAGCTTTTATTGGAAGATATTTCCTTTTTCACCGTAGTCCTGAGAGCGCTCCAAATGTCCACTTCCAGATACTACAAAAAGAGTGTTTCAAACCTGCTCTATGAAAGGGACTGTTCAACACTGTGACTTCAATTGAAACATCCCAATGAAGCTTCTGAGAATGCTACTGTCTAGAGTTTATATGAAGACAATCCCGTTTCCAACGAAATCCTCAAAGCTATCCAAATATCCTCTTGCAGATTTTACAAAAAGAGTGTTTCAAAACTACTCTATCAAAAGAGAGGTTTAACACTGTTAGTTGAGGGCGCACATGACAAATAAGTTTCTGACAATGCTTCTGTCTAGTTTTCAGGGGAAGATATTTCCTTTTTCACCATAGGGCTGAAAGCGCTCCAAATGTCCACATCCAGATACTACAAAAAGAGTGTTTCAAACCTGCTCTATGAAAGGGAATGTTCAACTCTGTGACTTGAATGCAAACATCACAAAGAAGATTCTGGGAATGCTGCTGTCTGCTTTTTATATGTAATCCCGTTTCCAACGAAATCCTCAAAGCTAGACAAATATCCACTTGCAGATTCCACAAAAAGAGTGTTTCAAAACTGCTCTATCAAAAGAATGCTTCAACACTGTTAGTTGAAGGCGCACATCACAAATAAGTTTCTGAGAATGCTTCTATCTAGCTTTTATTGGAAGATATTTCCTTTATCACCATAGTCCTGAGAGCGCTCCAAATGTCCACTTCCAGATACTACAAAAAGAGTGTTTCAAACCTGCTCTATGAAAGGGACTGTTCAACACTGTGTCTTCAATTGAAACATCCCAATGAAGCTTCTGAGAATGCTTCTGTCTAGAGTTTATATGAAGACAATCCCGTTTCCAACGAAATCCTCAAAGCTATCCAAGTATCCTCTTGCAGATATTACAAAAAGAGTGTTTCAAAACTGCTCTATCAAAAGAAAGCTTCAACACTGTTAGTTGAGGGCGCACATCACAAATAAGTTTCTGAGAATGCTTCTGTCTAGTTTTCTGGGGAAGATATTTCCTTTTTCACCATAGGCCTGAAAGCGCTCCAAATGTCCACATGCAGATACTACAAAAAGAGTGTTTCAAACCTGCTCTATGAAAGGGAATGTTCAACTCTGTGACTTGAATGCAAACATCACAAAGAAGTTACTGGGAATGCTGCTGTCTGCTTTTTATATGTAATCCCGTTTCCAACGAAATCCTCAAAGCTAGACAAATATCCACATGCAGACTCCACAAAAAGAGTGTTTCAAAACTGCTCTCTCAAAAGAAAGGTTCAACTCTTTTAGCTGAGTAGATACATCATGAAAAAGTTTCTCACATTGCTTCTATCTAGCTTTTATTGGAAGATATTTCCTTTATCACCGTATTCCTGAGATCTCTCCAAATGTCCACTTCCAGATACTATAAAAAGAGTGTTTCAAACCTGCTCTATGAAAGGGACTGTTCAACACTGTGACTTCAATTGAAACATCCCAATGAAGCTTCTGAGAATGCTTCTGTCTAGAGTTTATATGAAGACAATCCCGTTTCCAACGAAATCCTTAAAGCTATCCAAATATCCTCTTGCAAATATTACAAAAAGAGTGTTTCAAAACTGCTCTATCAAAAGAAAGGTTCAACACTGTTAGTTGAGGGCGCACATCACAAATAAGTTTCTGAGAATGATTCTGTCTAGTTTTCAGGCAGAAGATATTTCCTTTTTCACCATAGGCCTGAAAGCGCTCCAAATGTCCACATCCAGATACTATAAAAAGAGTGTTTCAAACCTGCTCTCTGAAAGGGAATGTTCAACTCTGTGACTTGAATGCAAACATCACAAACAAGTTTCTGGGAATGCTGCTGTCTGCTTTTTATATGTAATCCCGTTTCCAACGAAATCCTCAAAGCTAGACAAATATCCACTTGCAGATTCCACAAAAAGAGTGTTTCAAAACTGCTCTCTCAAAGGAAAGGTTCAACTCTGTTAGCTGAGTAGATACATCATGAAAAAGTTTCTGACATTGCTTCTATGTAGCTTTTATTGGAAGATATTTCCTTTTTCACCATAGTCCTGAGAGCGCTCCAAATGTCCACTTCCAGATACTACAAAAAGAGTGTTTCAAACCTGTTCTATGAAAGGAACTGTTCAGCACTGTGACTTCAATTGAAACACCCCAATGAAGCTTCTGAGAATGCTTCTGTCTAGAGTTTATATGAAGACAATCCCGTTTCCAACGAAATCCTCAAAGCTAGACAAATATCCACTTGCAGATTCCACAAAAAGAGTGTTTCAAAACTGCTCTCTCAAAGGAAGGTTCAACTCTGTTAGCTGAGTAGATACATCATGAAAAAGTTTCTGACATTGCTTCTATCTAGCTTTTATTGGAAGATATTTCCTTTTTCACCGCAGTCCTGAGAGCGCTCCAAATGTCCACTTCCAGATACTACAAAAAGAGTGTTTCAAACCTGCTCTATGAAAGGGACTGTTCAACACTGTGACTTCAATTGAAACATCCCAATGAAGCTTCTGAGAATGCTTCTGTCTAGAGTTTATATGAAGACAATCCCGTTTCCAACGAAATCCTCAAAGCTATCCAAATATCCTCTTGCAGATTTTACAAAAAGAGTGTTTCAAAACTGCTCTATCAAAAGAAAGCTTCAACTCTGTTAGTTGAGGGCGCACATCACAAATAAGATTCTGAGAATGCTTCTGTCTAGTTTTCAGGGGAAGATATTTCCGTTTTCACCATAGGCCTGAAAGCGCTCCAAATGTCCACATCCAGATACTACAAAAAGAGTGTTTCAAACCTGCTCTATGAAAGGGAATGTTCAACTCTGTGACTTGAATGCAAATATCACAAAGAAGTTTCTGGGAATGCTGCTGTCTGCTTTTTATATGTAATCCCGTTTCCAACGAAATCCTCAAAGCTAGACAAATATCCACTTGCAGATTCCACAAAAAGAGTGTTTCAAAACTGCTCTCTCAAAGGAAGGTTCAACTCTGTTAGCTGAGTAGACACATCATGAAAAAGATTCTGACATTGCTTCTATCTAGCTTTTATTGGAAGATATTTCCTTTTTCACCGCAGTCCTGAGAGCACTCCAAATGTCCACTTCCAGATACTACAAAAAGAGTGTTTCAAACCTGCTCTATGAAAGGGACTGTTCAACACTGTGACTTCAATTGAAACATCCCAATGAAGCTTCTGAGAATGCTTCTGTCTAGAGTTTATATGAAGACAATCCCGTTTCCAACGAAATCCTCAAAGCTATCCAAATATCCTCTTGCAGATTTTACAAAAAGAGCGTTTCAAAACTGCTCTATCAAAAGAAAGCTTCAACACTGTTAGTTGAGGGCGCACATCACAAATAAGATTCTGAGAATGCTTCTGTCTAGTTTTCAGGGGAAGATATTTCCTTTTTCACCATAGGCCTGAAAGCGCTGCAAATGTCCACATCCAGATACTACAAAAAGAGTGTTTCAAACCTGCTCTATGAAAGGGAATGTTCAACTCTGTGACTTGAATGGAAACATCACAAAGAAGTTCCTGGGAATGCTGCTGTCTGCTTTTTATATGTAATCCCGTTTCCAACGAAATCCTCAAAGCTAGAGAAATATCCACTTGCAGTTTCCACAAAAAGAGTGTTTCAAAACTGCTCTCTCAAAAGAAAGGTTCAACTCTGTTAGCTGAGTAGATACATCATGAAAAAGTTTCTGACATTGCTTTCTATGTAGCTTTTATTGGAAGATATTTCCTTTTTCACCGTAGTCCTGAGATCGCTCCAAATGTCCACTTGCAGATACTACAAAAAGAGTGTTTCAAACCTGCTCTATGAAAGGGACTGTTCAACACTGTGACTTCAATTGAAACATCCCAATGAAGCTTCTGAGAATGCTTCTGTCTAGAGTTTATATGAAGACAATCCCGTTTCCAACGAAATCCTCAAAGCTATCAAAATATCCTCTTGCAGATTTTACGAAAAGAGTGTTTCAAAACTGCTCTATCAAAAGAAAGCTTCAACACTGTTAGTTGAGGGCGCACATCACAAATAAGATTCTGAGAATGCTTCTGTCTATTTTTCAGGAGAAGATATTTCCTTTTTCACCATAGGCCTGAAAGCGCTCCAAATGTCCACATCCAGATACTATAAAAAGAGTGTTTCAAACCTGCTCTCTGAAAGGGAATGTTGAACTCTGTGACTTGAATGCAAACATCACAAACAAGATTCTGGGAATGCTGCTGTCTGCTTTTTATATGTAATCCCGTTTCCAACGAAATCCTCAAAGCTAGACAAATATCCACTTGCAGATTCCACAAAAAGAGTGTTTCAAAACTGCTCTATCAAAAGAAAGCTTCAACACTGTTAGTTGAGGGCGCACATCACAAATAAGTTTCTGAGAATGCTTCTGTCTAGTTTTCAGGGGAAGATATTTCCTTTTTCACCTTAGGCCTGAAAGCGCTGTAAATGTCCACATCCAGATACTACAAAAAGATTGTTTCAAACCTGCTCTATGAAAGGGAATGTTCAACTCTGTGACTTGAATACAAACATCACAAAGAAGTTTCTGGGAATGTCGCTGTCTGCTTTTTATATGTAATCCCGTTTCCAACGAAATCCTCAAAGCTAGACAAATATCCACTTGCAGATTCCACAAAAAGAGTGTTTCAAAACTGCTCTCTCAAAGGAAGGTTCAACTCTGTTAGCTGAGTAGATACATCATGAAAAAGTTTCTGACATTGCTTCTATCTAGCTTTTATTGGAAGATATTTCCTTTTTCACTGCAGTCCTGAGAGCGCTCCAAATGTCCACTTCCAGATACTACAAAAAGAGTGTTTCAAACCTGCTCTATGAAAGGGACTGTTCAACACTGTGACTTCAACTGAAACATCCCAATGAAGCTTCTGAGAATGCTTCTGTCTAGAGTTTATATGAAGACAATCCCGTTTCCAACGAAATCCTCAAAGCTATCCAAATGTCCTCTTGCAGATATTACAAAAAGAGTGTTTCAAAACTGCTCTATCAAAAGAAAGGTTCAACACTGTTAGTTGAGGGCGCACATCACAAATAAGTTTCTGAGAATGCTTCTGTCTAGTTTTCAGGAGAAGATATTTCCTTTTTCACCACAGGCCTGAAAGCACTCCAAATGTCCACATCCAGACACTATAAAAAGAGTGTTTCAAACCTGCTCTCTGAAAGGGAATGTTCAACTCTGTGACTTGAATGCAAACATCACAAAGAAGTTACTGGGAATGCTGCTGTCTGCTTTTTATATGTAATCCCTTTTCCAACGAAATCCTCAAAGCTAGACAAATATCCACTTGCAGATTCCACAAAAAGAGTGTTTGAAAACTGCTCTCTCAAAGGAAAGGTTCAACTCTGTTAGCTGAGTAGATACATCATGAAAAAGTTTCTGACATTGCTTCTGTCTAGTTTTCAGG
Source organism: Homo sapiens (assembly GCF_000001405.40). NCBI lineage: Eukaryota > Metazoa > Chordata > Mammalia > Primates > Hominidae > Homo > Homo sapiens. Next base: position 92,257,281 of record NC_000002.12, on the reverse strand, counting down.
GGAAGATATTTCCTTTTTCACCATAGGCCTGAAAGCGCTCCAAATGTCCACATCCAGATACTACAAAAAGAGTGTTTCAAACCTGCTCTATGAAAGGGACTGTTCAACACTGTGACTTCAATTGAAACATCCCAATGAAGCTTCTGAGAATGCTTCTGTCTAGAGTTTATATGAAGACAATCCCGTTTCCAGCGAAATCCTCAAAGCTATCCAAATATCCTCTTGCAGATATTACAAAAAGAGTGTTTCAAAACTGCTCTATCAAAAGAAAGGTTCAACACTGCTAGTTGAGGGCGCACATCACAAATAAGATTCTGAGAATGCTTCCGTCTAGTTTTCTGGGGAAGATATTTCCTTTTTCACCATAGGCCTGAAAGCGCTCCAAATGTCCACATCCAGATACTACAAAAAGAGTGTTTCAAACCTGCTCTATGAAAGGGAATGTTCAACTCTGTGACTTGAATGCAAACATCACAAAGAAGTTACTGGGAATGCTGCTGTCTGCTTTTTATATGTAATCCCGTTTCCAACGAAATCCTCAAAGCTAGACAAATATCCACTTCCAGATTCCACCAAAAGAGTGTTTCAAAACTGCTCTCTCAAAAGAAAGGTTCAACTCTGTTAGCTGAGTAGATACATCATGAAAAAGTTTCTGACATTGCTTCTATCTAGCTTTTATTGGAAGATATTTCCTTTATCACCGTAGTCCTGAGAGCGCTCCACATGTCCACTTCCAGATACTACAAAAAGAGTGTTTCAAACCTGCTCTATGAAAGGGACTGTTCAACACTGTGACTTCAATTGAAACATCCCAATGAAGCTTCTGAGAATGCTTCTGTCTAGAGTTTATATGAAGACAATCCCGTTTCCAACGAAATCCTCAAAGCTATCCAAATATCCTCTTGCAGATTTTACGAAAAGAGTGTTTCAAAACTGCTCTATCAAAAGAAAGCTTCAACACTGTTAGTTGAGGGCGCACATCACAAATAAGATTCTGAGAATGCTTCTGTCTAGTTTTCAGGGGAAGATATTTCCTTTTTCACCATAGGCCTGAAAGCGCTCCAAATGTCCGCATCCAGATACTACAAAAAGAGTGTTTCAAACCTGCTCTATGAAAGGGAATGTTCAACTCTGTGACTTGAATGCAAACATCACAAAGAAGTTTCTGGGAATGCTGCTGTCTGCTTTTTATATGTAATCCCGTTTCCAACGAAATCCTCAAAGCTAGACAAATATCCACTTGTAGATTCCACAAAAAGAGTGTTTCAAAACTGCTCTCTCAAAAGAAAGGTTCAACTCTGTTAGCTGAGTAGATACATCATGAAAAAGTTTCTGACATTGCTTCTATCTAGCTTTTATTGGAAGATATTTCCTTTTTCACCGTAGTCCTGAGAACGCTCTCAATGTCCACTTCCAGATACTACAAAAAGAGTGTTTCAAACATGCTCTATGAAAGGGACTGTTCAACACTGTGACTTCAATTGAAACATCCCAATGAAGCTTCTGAGAATGCTTCTGTCTAGAGTTTATATGAAGACAATCCCGTTTCCAACGAAATCCTCAAAGCTATCAAAATATCCTCTTGCAGATTTTACGAAAAGAGTGTTTCAAAACTGCTCTATCAGAAGAAAGCTTCAACACTGTTAGTTGAGGGCGCACATCACAAATAAGATTCTGAGAATGCTTCTGTCTAGTTTTCAGGAGAAGATATTTCCCTTTTCACCATAGGCCTGAAAGCACTCCAAAGGTCCACATCCAGATACTATAAAAAGAGTGTTTCAAACCTGCTCTCTAAAAGGGAATGTTGAACTCTGTGACTTGAATGCAAACATCACAAACAAGATTTTGGGAATGCTGCTGTCTGCTTTTTATATGTAATCCCGTTTCCAACGAAATCCTCAAAGCTAGACAAATATCCACTTGCAGATTCCACAAAAAGAGTGTTTCAAAACTGCTCTATCAAAAGAAAGCTTCAACACTGTTAGTTGAGGGCGCACATCACAAATAAGTTTCTGAGAATGCTTCTGTCTAGTTTTCAGGGGAAGATATTTCCTTTTTCACCTTATGCCTGAAAGCGCTCCAAATGTCCACATCCAGATTCTACAAAAAGAGTGTTTCAAACCTGCTCTATGAAAGGGACTGTTCAACACTGTGACTTCAATTGAAACATCCCAATGAAGCTTCTGAGAATGCTTCTGTCTAGATTTTGTATGAAGACAATCCCGTTTCCAACGAAATCCTCAAAGCTATCCAAATATCCTCTTGCAGATTTTACAAAAAGTGGATTTCAAAACTGCTCTATCAAAAGAAAGGTTCAACACTGTTAGTTGAGGGCGCACATCACAAATAAGTTTCTGAGAATGCTTCTGTCTAGTTTTCAGGGGAAGATATTTCCTTTTTCACCATAGGCCTGAAAGCGCTCCAAATGTCCACATCCAGATACTACAAAAAGAGTGTTTCAAACCTGCTCTATGAAAGGGAATGTTCAACTCTGTGACTTGAATGCAAACATCACAAAGAAGATTCTGGGAATGCTGCTGTCTGCTTTTTATATGTAAACCCGTTTCCAACGAAATCCTCAAAGCTAGACAAATATCCACTTGCAGATTCCACAAAAAGAGTGTTTCAAAACTTCTCTCTCAAAAGAAAGGTTCCACTCTGTTAGCTGAGTAGATACATCATGAAAAAGTTTCTGACATTGCTTCTATCTAGCTTTTATTGGAAGATATTTCCTTTATCACCGTAGTCCTGAGAGCGCTCCAAATGTCCACTTCCAGATACTACAAAAAGAGTGTTTCAAACCTGTTCTATGAAAGGAACTGTTCAACACTGTGACTTCAATTGAAACATCCCAATGAAGCTTCTGAGAATGCTTCTGTCTAGAGTTTATATGAAGACAATCCCGTTTCCAACGAAATCCTCAAAGCTATCCAAATATCCTCTTGCAGATATTACAAAAAGAGTGTTTCAAAACTGCTCTATCAAAAGAAAGCTTCAACACTGTTAGTTGAGGGCGCACATCACAAATAAGTTTCTGAGAATGCTTCTGTCTAGTTTTCAGGGAAAGATATTTCCTTTTTCACCATAGGCCTGAAAGCGCTCCAAATGTCCACATCCAGATACTACAAAAAGAGTGTTTCAAACCTGCTCTATGAAAGGGAATGTTCAACTCTGTGACTTGAATGCAAACATCACAAAGAAGTTTCTGGGAATGCTGCTGTCTGCTTTTTATATGTAATCCCGTTTCCAACGAAATCCTCAAAGCTAGACAAATATCCACTTGCAGATTCCACAAAAAGAGTGTTTCAAAACTGCTCTATCAAAAGAATGCTTCAACACTGTTAGTTGAGGGCGCACATCACAAATAAGTTTCTGAGAATGCTTCTGTCTAGTTTTCAGGGGAAGATATTTCCTTTTAAACCATAGGCCTGAAAGCGCTCCAAATGTCCACATCCAGATACTACAAAAAGAGTGTTTCAAACCTGCTCTATGAAAGGGACTGTTCAACACTGTGACTTCAATTGAAACATCCCAATGAAGCTTCTGAGAATGCTTCTGTCTAGAGTTTATATGAAGACAATCCCGTTTCCAACGAAATCCTCAAAGCTATCCAAATATCCTCTTGCAGATATTACAAAAAGAGTGTTTCAAAACTGCTCTATCAAAAGAAAGCTTCAACACTGTTAGTTGAGGGCGCACATCACAAATAAGTTTCTGAGAATGCTTCTGTCTAGTTTTCAGGGGAAGTTATTTCCTTTTTCACCATAGGCCTGAAAGCGCTCCAAATGTCCACATCCAGATACTACAAAAAGAGTGTTTCAAACCTGCTCTATGAAAGGGAATGTTCAACTCTGTGACTTGAATGCAAATATCACAAAGAAGTTTCTGGGAATGCTGCTGTCTGCTTTTTATATGTAATCCCGTTTCCAACGAAATCCTCAAAGCTAGACAAATATCCACTTGCAGATTCCACAAAAAGAGTGTTTCAAAACTGCTCTCTCAAATGAAAGGTTCAACTCTGTTAGCTGAGTAGATACATCATGAAAAAGTTTCTGACATTGCTTCTATCTAGCTTTTATTGGAAGATATTTCCTTTTTCACCGTAGTCCTGAGAGCGCTCAAAATGTCCACTTCCAGATACTACCAAATGAGTGTTTCCAACCTGCTCTATGAAAGGGACTGTTCAACACTGTGACTTCAATTGAAACATCCCAATGAAGCTTCTGAGAATGCTACTGTCTAGAGTTTATATGAAGACAATCCCGTTTCCAATGAAATCCTCAAAACTATCCAAATATCCTCTTGCAGATTTTACAAAAAGAGTGTTTGAAAACTGCTCTATCAAAAGAAAGCTTCAACACTGTTAGTTGAGGGCGCACATCACAAATAAGTTTCTGAGAATGCTTCTGTCTAGTTTTCAGGGGAAGATATTTCCTTTTTCACCATAGGCCTGAAAGCGCTCCAAATGTCCACATCCAGATACTACAAAAAGAGTGTTTCAAAACTGCTCTATGAAAGGGAATGTTCAACTCTGTGACTTGAATGCAAACATCACAAAGAAGTTACTGGGAATGCTGCTGTCTGCTTTTTATATGTAATCTCGTTTCCAACGAAATCCTCAAAGCTAGACAAATATCCACTTGCAGATTCCACAAAAATAGTGTTTCAAGACTGCTCTCACAAAAGAAAGGTTCAACTCTTTTAGCTGAGTAGATACATCATGAAAAAGTTTCTGACATTGCTTTCTATCTAGCTTTTATTGGAAGATATTTCCTTTTTCACTGTAGTCCTGAGAGGACTCCAAATGTCCACTTCCAGATACTAAAAAAAGAGTGTTTCAAACTTGCTCTATGAAAGGGACTGTTCAACACTGTGACTTCAATTGAAACATCCCAATGAAGCTTCTGAGAATGCTTCTGTCTTGAGTTTATATGAAGAAAATCCCGTTTCCAATGAAATCCTCAAAGCTATCCAAATATCCTCTTGCAGATTTTACGAAAAGAGTGTTTCAAAACTGCTCTATCAAAAGAAAGCTTCAACACTCTTAGCTGAGGGCGCACATCACAAATAAGATTCTGAGAATGCTTCTGTCTTGTTTTCAGGAGAAGATATTTCCTTTTTCACCATAGGCCTGAAAGCGCTCCAAATGTCCACATCCAGATACTATAAAAAGAGTGTTTCAAACCTGCTCTATGAAACGGAATGTTCAACTCTGGAACTTGAATGCAAACATCACAAAGAAGATTCTGGGAATGCTGCTGTCTGCTTTTTATATGTAATCCCGTTTCCAACGAAATCCTCAAAGCTAGACAAATATCCACTTGCAGATTCCACAAAAAGAGTGTTTCAAAACTGCTCTATCAAAAGAAAGCTTCAACACTGTTAGTTGAGGGCGCACATCACAAATAAGTTTCTGAGAATGCTTCTGTCTAGTTTTCAGGGGAAGATATTTCCTTTTAAACCATAGGCCTGAAAGCGCTCCAAATGTCCACATCCAGATACTACAAAAAGAGTGTTTCAAACCTGCTCTATGAAAGGGACTGTTCAACACTGTGACTTCAATTGAAACATCCCAATGACGCTTCTGAGAATGCTTCTGTGTAGAGTTTATATGAAGACAATCCCGTTTCCAACGAAATCCTCAAAGCTATCCAAATATCCTCTTGCAGATTTTACAAAAAGAGTGTTTCAAAACTGCTCTATCAAAAGAAAGCTTCAACACTGTTAGTTGAGGGCGCACATCACAAATAAGATTCTGAGAATTCTCTGTCTAGTTTTCAGGGGAAGATATTTCCTTTTTCACCATAGGCCTGAAAGCGCTCCAAATGTCCACATGCAGATACTACAAAAAGAGTGTTTCAAACCTGCTCTATGAAAGGGAATGTTCAACTCTGTGACTTGAATGCAAACATCACAAAGAAGTTACTGGGAATGCTGGCTGTCTGCTTTTTATATGTAATCCCGTTTCCAACGAAATCCTCAAAGCTAGACAAATATCCACTTGCAGATTCCACAAAAAGAGTGTTTCAAAACTGCTCTCTCAAAAGAAAGGTTCAACTCTGTTAGATGAGTAGATACATCATGAAAAAGTTTCTGACATTGCTTCTATCTAGCTTTTATTGGAAGATATTTCCTTTTTCACCGCAGTCCTGAGAGCACTCCAAATGTCCACTTCCAGATACTACAAAAAGAGTGTTTCAAACCTGCTCTATGAAAGGGACTGTTCAACACTGTGACTTCAATTGAAACATCCGAATGAAGCTTCTGAGAATGCTTCTGTCTAGAGTTTATATGAAGACAATCCCGTTTCCAATGAAATCCTCCAAGTTTTCCAAATATCCTCTTGCAGATTTTACAAAAAGAGTGTTTCAAAACTGCTCTATCAAAAGAAAGCTTCAACACTGTTAGTTGAGGGCGCACATCACAAATAAGATTCTGAGAATGCTTCTGTCTAGTTTTCAGGGGAAGATATTTCCTTTTTCACCATAGGCCTGAAAGCGCTCCAAATGTCCACATACAGATACTACAAAAATAGTGTTTCAAACCTGCTCTATGAAAGGGAATGTTCAACTCTGTGACTTGAATGCAAACATCACAAAGAAGTTTCTGGGAATGCTGCTGTCTGCTTTTTATATGTAATCCCGTTTCCAACGAAATCCTCAAAGCTAGACAAATATCCACTTGCAGATTCCACAAAAAGAGTGTTTCAAAACTGCTCTCTCAAAGGAAAGGTTCAACTCTGTTAGCTGAGTAGATACATCATGAAAAAGTTTCTGACATTGCTTCTATGTAGCTTTTATTGGAAGATATTTCCTTTTTCACCGTAGTCCTGAGAGCGCTCCAAATGTCCACTTCCAGATACTACAAAAAGAGTGTTTCAAACCTGCTCTATGAAAGGGACTGTTCAACACTGTGACTTCAATTGAAACATCCCAATGAAGCTTCTGAGAATGCTTCTGTCTAGAGTTTATATGAAGACAATCCCGTTTCCAACGAAATCCTCAAAGCTATCCAAATATCCTCTTGCAGATATTACAAAAAGAGTGTTTCAAAACTGCTCTATCAAAAGAAAGGTTCAACACTGTTAGTTGAGGGCGCACATCACAAATAAGTTTCTGAGAATGCTTCTGTCTAGTTTTCAGGGGAAGATATTTCCTTTTTCACCATAGGCCTGAAAGCGCTCCAAATGTCCACATACACATACTACAAAAAGAGTGTTTCAAACCTGCTCTATGAAAGGGAATGTTCAACTCTGTGACTTGAATGCAAACTTCACAAAGAAGTTTCTGGGAATGCTGCTGTCTGCTTTTTATATGTAATCCCGTTTCCAACGAAATCCTCAAAGCTAGACAAATATCCACCTGCAGATCCAACAAAAAGAGTGTTTCAAAACGGCTCTCTCAAAAAAAAGGTTCAACTCTGTTAGCTGAGTAGATACATCATGAAAAAGTTTCTGACATTGCTTCTATCTAGCTTTTATTGGAAGATATTTCCTTTATCACCGTATTCCTGAGATCTCTCCAAATGTCCACTTGCAGATACTACAAAAAGAGTGTTTCAAACCTGCTCTATGAAAGGGACTGTTCAACACTGTGACTTCAATTGAAACATCCCAGTGAAGCTTCTGAGAATGCTTCTGTCTAGATTTTATATGAAGACAATCCCGTTTCCAACGAAATCCTCAAAGCTATCCAAATATCCTCTTGCAGATATTACAAAAAGAGTGTTTCAAAACTGCTCTATCAAAAGAAAGTTTCAACACTGTTAGTTGAGGGCGCACATCACAAATAAGTTTCTGAGAATGCTTCTGTCTAGTTTTCAGGGGAAGATATTTCCTTTTTCACTATAGGCCTGAAAGCGCTCCAAATGTCCACATCCAGATACTACAAAAAGAGTGTTTCAAACCTGCTCTATGAAAGGGAATGTTCAACTCTGTGACTTGAATGCAAGCATCACAAAGAAGTTTCTGGGAATGCTGCTGTCTGCTTTTTATATGTAATCCCGTTTCCAACGAAATCCTCAAAGCTAGACAAATATCCACTTGCAGATTCCACAAAAAGAGTGTTTCAAAACTGCTCTATCAAAAGAATGCTACAACACTGTTAGTTGAGGGCGCACATCACAAATAAGTTTCTGAGAATGCTTCTGTCTAGTTTTCAGGGGAAGATATTTCCTTTTAAACCATAGGCCTGAAAGCGCTCCAAATGTCCACATCCAGATACTACAAAAAGAGTGTTTCAAACCTGCTCTATGAAAGGGACTGTTCAACACTGTGACTTCAATTGAAACATCCCAATGAAGCTTCTGAGAATGCTTCTGTCTAGAGTTTATATGAAGACAATCCCGTTTCCAACGAAATCCTCAAAGCAATCCAAATATCCTCTTGCAGATTTTACAAAAAGAGTGTTTCAAAACTGCTCTAGCAAAAGAAAGCTTCAACACTGTTAGTTGAGGGCGCACATCACAAATAAGTTTCTGAGAATGCTTCTGTCTAGTTTTCAGGGGAAGATATTTCCTTTTTCACCATAGGCCTGAAAGCGCTCCAAATGTCCACATCCAGATACTACAAAAAGAGTGTTTCAAACCTGCTCTATGAAAGGGAATGTTCAACTCTGTGACTTGAATGCAAACATCACAAAGAAGTTACTGGGAATGCTGCTGTCTGCTTTTTATATGTAATCCCGTTTCCAACGAAATCCTCAAAGCTAGACAAATATCCACTTTCAGATTACACAAAAAGAGTGTTTCAAAACTGCTCTCTCAAAAGAAAGGTTCAACTCTGTTAGCTGAGTAGATACATCATGAAAAAGTTTCTGACATTGCTTCTATCCAGCTTTTATTGGAAGATATTTCCTTTATCACCGTATTCCTGAGATCTCTCCAAATGTCCACTTCCAGATACTACAAAAAGAGTGTTTCAAACCTGCTGTATGAAAGGGACTGTTCAACACTGTGACTTCAATTGAAACATCCCAATGAAGCTTCTGAGAATGCTTCTGTCTAGAGTTTATATGAAGACAATCCCGTTTCCAACGAAATCCTCAAAGCTATCCAAATATCCTCTTGCAGATATTACAAAAAGAGTGTTTCAAAACTGCTCTATCAAAAGAAAGCTTCAACACTGTTAGTTGAGGGCGCACATCACAAATAAGTTTCTGAGAATGCTTCTGTCTAGTTTTCAGGGGAAGATATTTCCTTTTTCACCTTAGGCCTGAAAGTGCTGCAGATGTACACATCCAGATACTACAAAAAGAGTGTTTCAAACCTGCTCTATGAAAGGGAATGTTCAACTCTGTGACTTGAATGCAAACATCACAAAGAAGTTTCTGGGAATGCTGCTGTCCGCTTTTTATATGTAATCCCGTTTCCAACGAAATCCTCAAAGCTAGACAAATATCCACTTGCAGATTCCACAAAAAGAGTGTTTCAAAACTGCTCTGTCAAAAGAAAGGTTCAACTCTGTTAGCTGAGTAGATACATCATGAAAAATTTTCTGACATTGCTTCTATCTAGCTTTTATTGGAAGATATTTCCTTTTTCACCGCAGTCCTGAGAGCGTTCCAAATGTCCACTTCCAGATACTACAAAAAGAGTGTTTCAAACCTGCTCTATGAAAGGGACTGTTCAACACTGTGACTTCAATTGAAACATCCCAATGAAGCTTCTGAGAATGCTTCTGTCTAGAGTTTATATGAAGACAATCCCGTTTCCAACGAAATCCTCAAAGCTATCCAAATATCCTCTTGCAGATATTACAAAAAGAGTGTTTCAAAACTGCTCTATCAAAAGAAAGCTTCAACACTGTTAGTTGAGGGCGCACATCACAAATAAGTTTCTGAGAATGCTTCTGTCTAGTTTTCAGGGGAAGATATTTCCTTTTTCACCTTAGGCCTGAAAGCGCTGCAAATGTCCACATCCAGATACTACAAAAAGAGTGTTTCAAACCTGCTCTATGAAAGGGAATGTTCAACTCTGTGACTTGAATGCAAACATCACAAAGAAGTTTCTGGGAATGCTGCTGTCTGCTTTTTATATGTAATCCCGTTTCCAACGAAATCCTCAAAGCTAGACAAATATCCACTTGCAGATTCCACAAAACGAGTGTTTCAAAACTGCTCTCTCAAATGAAGGTTCAACTCTGTTAGCTGAGTAGATACATCATGAAAAAGTTTCTGACATTGCTTCTATCTAGCTTTTATTGGAAGATATTTCCTTTTTCACCGCAGTCCTGAGAGCGCTCCAAATGTCCACTTCCAGATACTACAAAAAGAGTGTTTCAAACCTGCTCTATGAAAGGGACTGTTCAACACTGTGACTTCAATTGAAACATCCCAATGAAGCTTCTGAGAATGCTTCTGTCTAGAGTTTATATGAAGACAATCCCGTTTCCAACGAAATCCTCAAAGCTATCCAAATGTCCTCTTGCAGATTTTACGAAAAGAGTGTTTCAAAACTGCTCTATCAAAAGAAAGCTTCAACACTGTTAGTTGAGGGTGCACATCACAAATAAGATTACTGAGAATGCTTCTGTCTAGTTTTCATGGGAAGATATTTCCTTTTTCACCATAGGCCTGAAAGCGCTCCAAATGTCCACATCCAGATACTACAAAAAGAGTGTTTCAAGCCTGCTCTATGAAAGGGAATGTTCAACTCTGTGACTTGAATGCAAACATCACAAAGAAGTTTCTGGGAATGCTGCTGTCTGCTTTTTATATGTAACCCGTTTCCAACGAAATCCTCAAAGCTAGAAAAATATCCACTTGCAGATTCCACAAAAAGAGTGTTTCAAAACTGCTCTCTCAAAGGAAGGTTCAACTCTGTTAGCTGAGTAGATACATCATGAAAAAGTTTCTGACATTGCTTCTATCTAGCTTTTATTGCAAGATATTTCCTTTTTCACCGCAGTCCTGAGAGCGATCCAAATGTCCACTTCCAGATACTACAAAAAGAGTGTTTCAAACCTGCTCTATGAAAGGGACTGTTCAACACTGTGACTTTAATTGAAACATCCCAATGAAGCTTCTGAGAATGCTTCTGTCTAGATTGTATATGAAGACAATCCCGTTTCCAACGAAATCCTCAAAGCTATCCAAATATCCTCTTGCAGATTTTACAAAAAGAGTGTTTCAAAACTGCTCTATCAAAAGAAAGCTTCAACACTGTTAGTTGAGGGCGCACATCACAAATAAGTTTCTGAGAATGCTTCTGTCTAGTTTTCAGGGGAAGATATTTCCTTTTTCACCATAGGTCTGAAAGCGCTCCAAATGTCCACATCCAGATACTACAAAAAGAGTGTTTCAAACCTGCTCTATGAAAGGGAATGTTCAACTCTGTGACTTGAATGCAAACATCACAAAGAAATTTCTGGGAATGCTGCTGTCTGCTTTTTATATGTAATCCCGTTTCCAACGAAATCCTCAAAGCTAGACAAATATCCACTTGCAGATTCCACAAAAAGAGTGTTTCAAAACGGCTCTCTCAAAAGAAAGGTTCAACTCTGTTAGCTGAGTAGATACATCATGAAAAAGTTTCTGACATTGCTTCTATCTAGCTTTTATTGGAAGATATTTCCTTTTTCACCATAGTCCTGAGAACGCTCCAAATGTCCACTTCCAGATATTACAAAAAGAGTGTTTCAAACCTGCTCTACGAAAGGGACTGTTCAACACTGTGACTTCAATTGAAACATCCCAATGAAGCTTCTGAGAATGCTTCTGTCTAGATTGTATATGAAGACAATCCCGTTTCCAACGAAATCCTCAAAGCTATCCAAATATCCTCTTGCAGATTTTACAAAAAGAGTGTTTCAAAACTGCTCTATCAAAAGAAAGCTTCAACACTGTTAGTTGAGGGCGCACATCACAAATAAGTTTCTGAGAATGCTTCTGTCTAGTTTTCACGGGAAGATATTTCCTTTTTCACCATAGGCCTGAAAGCGCTCCAAATGTCCACAACCAGATACTTCAAAAAGAGTGTTTCAAACCTGCTCTATGAAAGGGAATGTTCAACTCTCTGACTTGAATGCAAACATCACAAAGAAGTTACTGGGAATGCTGCTGTCTGCTTTTTATATGTAATCCCGTTTCCAACGAAATCCTCAAAGCTAGACAAATATCCACTTGCAGATTCCACAAAACGAGTGTTTCAAAACTGCTCTCTCAAATGAAGGTTCAACTTTGTTAGCTGAGTAGATACATCATGAAAAAGTTTCTGACATTGCTTCTATCTAGCTTTTATTGGAAGATATTTCCTTTATCACCGTATTCCTGAGATCTCTACAAATGTCCACTTCCAGATACTACAAAAAGAGTGTTTCAAACCTGCTCTATGAAAGGGACTGTTCAACACTGTGACTTCAATTGAAACATCCCAATGAAGCTTCTGAGAATGCTTCTGTCTAGAGTTTATATGAAGACAATCCCGTTTCCAAAGAAATCCTCAAAGCTATCGAAATATCCTCTTGCAGATATTACAAAAAGAGTGTTTCAAATCTGCTCTATCAAAAGAAAGGTTCAACACTGTTAGTTGAGGGCGCACATCACAAATAAGTTTCTGAGAATGCTTCTGTCTAGTTTTCAGGGGAAGATATTTCCTTTTTCACCATAGGCCTGAAAGCGCTCCAAATGTCCACATCCAGATACTACAAAAAGAGTGTTTCAAACCTGCTCTATAAAAGGGAATGTTCAACTCTGTGACTTGAATGCAAACATCACAAAGAAGTTTCTGGGAATGCTGCTGTCTGCTTTTTATCTGTAATCCCGTTTCCAACGAAATCCTCAAAGCTAGACAAATATCCACTTGCAGATTCCATAAAAAGAGTGTTTCAAAACTGCTCTCTCAAAAGAAAGGTTCAACTCTGTTAGCTGAGTAGATACATCATGAAAAAGTTTCTGACATTGCTTCAATCTAGCTTTTATTGGAAGATATTTCCTTTTTCACAGTAGTCCTGAGAGCGCTCCAAATGTCCACTTCCAGATACTACAAAAGGAGTGTTTCAAACCTGCTCTATGAAAGGGACTGTTCAACACCGTGACTTCAATTGAAACATCCCAATGAAGCTTCTGAGAATGCTTCTGTCTAGAGTTTATATGAAGACAATCCCGTTTCCAACGAAATCCTCAAAGCTATCCAAATATACTCTTGCAGATATTACAAAAAGAGTGTTTCAAAACTGCTCTATCAAAAGAAAGGTTCAACACTGTTAGTTGAGGGAGCACATCACAAATAAGTTTCTGAGAATGCTTCTGTCTAGTTTTCAGGGGAAGATATTTCCTTTTTCACCATAGGCCTGAAAGCGCTCCAAATGTCCATATCCAGATACTACAAAAAGAGTGTTTCAAACCTGCTCTATGAAAGGGAATGTTCAACTCTGTGACTTGAATGCTAACTTCACAAAGAAGTTTCCGGGAATGCTGCTGTCTGCTTTTTATATGTAATCCCGTTTCCAACGAAATCCTCAAAGCTAGACAAATATCCACTTGCAGATTCCACAAAAAGAGTGTTTCAAAACTGCTCTCTCAAAAGAAAGGTTCAACCCTGTTAGCTGAGTAGATACATCATGAAAAATTTTCTGACATTGCTTCTATCTAGCTTTTATTGGAAGATATTTCCTTTTTCACTGTAGTCCTGAGAGCGCTCCAAATGTCCACTTCCAGATACTACAAAAAGAGTGTTTCAAATCTGCTCTATGAAAGGGACTGTTCAACACTGTGACTTCAATTGAAACATCCCAATGAAGCTTCTGAGAATGATTCTGTCTAGATTCTATATGAAGACAATCCCGTTTCCAACGAAATCCTCAAAGCTATCCAAATATCCTCTTGCGGATTTTACAAAAAGAGTGTATCAAAACTGCTCTATCAAAAGAAAGGTTCAACACTGTTAGTTGAGGGCGCACATGACAAATAAGTTTCTGAGAATGCTTCTGTCTAGTTTTCAGGGGAAGATATTTCCTTTTTCACCATAGGCCTGAAAGCGCTCCAAATGTCCACATCCAGATACTACAAAAAGAGTGTTTCAAACCTGCTCTATGAAAGGGAATGTTCAAGTCTGTGACTTGAATGCAAATATCACAAAGAAGTTTCTGGGAATGCTACTGTCTGCTTTTTATATGTAATCCCGTTTCCAACGAAATCCTCAAAGCTAGACAAATACCCACTTGCAGATTCCACAAAAAGAGTGTTTCAAAACTGCTCTCTCAAAAGAAAGGTTCAACTCTGTTAGCTGAGTAGATACATCATGAAAATGTTTCTGACATTGCTTCTATCTAGCTTTTATTGGAAGATATTTCCTTTTTCACCGTAGTCCTGAGAGCGCTCCAAACGTCCATTTCCAGATACTACAAAAAGAGTGTTTCAAACCTGCTCTATGAAATGGAATGTTCAACTCTGTGACATCAATTGAAACATCCCAATGAAGCTTCTGAGAATGCTTCTGTCTAGAGTTTATATGAAGACAATCCCGTTTCCAACGAAATCCTCAAAGCTAACCAAATATCCTATTGCAGATTTTACAAAAAGAGTGTTTCAAAACTGCTCTATCAAAAGAAAGGTTCAACACTGTTAGTTGAGGGTGCACATCACAAATAAGATTCTGAGAATGCTTCTGTCTAGTTTTCAGGGGAAGATATTTCCTTTTTCACCATAGACCTGAAAGCGCTCCAAATGTCCACATCCAGATACTACAAAAAGAGTGTTTCAAACCTGCTCTATGAAAGGGAATGTTCAACTCTGCGACTTGAATGCAAACATCACAAAGAAGTTTCTGGGAATGCTGCTGTCTGCTTTTTATATGTAATCGCGTTTCCAACGAAATCCTCAAAGCTAGACAAATATCCACTTGCAGATTCCACAAAAAGAGTGTTTCAAAACTGCTCTCTCGAAAGAAAGGTTCAACTCTGTTAGCTGAGTAGATACATCATGAAAATGTTTCTGACATTGCTTCTATCTGGCTTTTATTGGAAGATATTTCCTTTTTCACCGTAGTCCTGAGAGCGCTCCAAATGTCCACTTCCAGATACTACAAAAAGAGTGTTTCAAACCTGCTCTATGAAAGGGACTGTTCAACACTGTGACTTCAATTGAAACATCCCAATGAAGCTTCTGAGAATGCTGCTGTCTAGGGTTAATATGAAGACAATCCCGTTTCCAACGAAATCCTCAAAGCTATCCAAATATCCTCTTGCAGATTTTACGAAAAGAGTGTTTCAAAACTACTCTATCAACAGAAAGGTTCAACATTGTTAGTTGAGGGCGCACATCACAAATAAGTTTCTGAGAATGCTTCTGTCTAGTTTTCAGGGGAAGATATTTCCTTTTTCACAATAGGCCTGAAAGCGCTGCAAATGTCCACATCCAGATACTACAAAAAGAGTGTTTCAAACCTGCTCTATGAAAGGGAATGTTCAACTCTGTGACTTGAATGCAAACATCACAAAGAAGTTTCTGGGAATGCTGCTGTCTGTTTTTATATGTAATCCCGTTTCCAACGAAATCCTCAAACCTAGACAAATATCCACTTGCAGATTCCACAAAAATAGTGTTTCAAAACGGCTCTCACAAAAGAAAGTTTCAACTCTTTTAGCTGAGTAGATACATCATGAAAAAGTTTCTGACATTGCTTCTATCTAGCTTTTATTGGAAGATATTTCCTTTTTCACCGTAGTCCTGAGAGCGCTCCAAATGTCCACTTCCAGATGCTACAAAAAGAGTGTTTCAAACCTGCTCTATGAAAGTGACTGTTCAACACTGTGACTTCAATTGAAACATCCCAATGAACCTTCTGAGAATGCTACTGTCTAGGGTTAATATGAAGACAATCCCGTTTCTAACGAAATCCTCAAAGCTATCCAAATATCCTCTTGCAGATTTTACAAAAAGAGTGTTTCAAAACTACTCTATCAACAGAAAGGTTCAACATTGTTAGTTGAGGGCGCACATCACAAATAAGTTTCTGAGAATGCTTCTGTCTAGTTTGCAGGGGAAGATATTTCCTTTTTCACCATAGGCCTGAGAGCGCTCCAAATGTCCACATCCAGATACTACAAAAAGAGTGTTTCAAACCTGCTCTATGAAAGGGAATGTTCAACTCTGTGACTTGAATGCAAACATCACAAAGAAGTTTCTGGGAATGCTGCTGTCTGCTTTTTATATGTAATCCCGTTTCCAACGAAATCCTCAAAGCTAGACAAATATCCACCTGCAGATCCAACAAAAAGACTGTTTCAAAACTGCTCTCTCAAAAAAAAGGTTCAACTCTGTTAGCTGAGTAGATACATCATGAAAAATTTTCTGACATTGCTTCTGTCTAGTTTTCAGGGGAAGATATTTCCTTTTAAACCATAGGCCTGAAAGCGCTCAAATGTCCACATCCAGATACTACAAAAAGAGTGTTTCAATCCTGCTCTATGAAAGGGACTGTTCAACATTGTGACTTCAATTGAAACATCCCCATGATGCTTCTGAGAATGCTTCTGTCTAGTAATTTATATGAAGACAAACCCGTTTCCAACGAAATCCTCAAAGCTATCCAAATATCCTCTTGCAGATATTACAAAAAGAGTGTTTCAAAACTGCTCTATCAAAAGAAAGCTTGAACACTGTTAGTTGAGGGCGCACATCACAAATAAGTTTCTGAGAATGCTTCTGTCTAGTTTTCAGGGGAAGATATTTCCTTTTTCACCATAGGCCTGAAAGCGCTGCAAATGTCCACATCCAGATACTACAAAAAGAGTGTTTCAAACCTGCTCTATGAAAGGGAATGTTCAACTCTGTGACTTGAATGCAAACACCACAAAGAAGTTACTGGGAATGCTGCTGTCTGCTTTTTATAGGTAATCCCGTTTCCAACGAAATCCTCAAAGCTAGACAAATATCCACTTGCAGATTCCACAAAAAGAGTGTTTCAAAACTGCTCTCTCAAAAGAAAGGTTCAACTCTGTTAGCTGAGTAGATACATCATGAAAAAGTTTCTGACATTGCTTCTATCTAGCTTTTATTGGAAGATAATTCCTTTATCACCGTATTCCTGAGAACTCTCCAAACGTCCACTTCCAGATACTACAAAAAGATTGTTTCAAACCTGCTCTATGAAAGGGACTGTTCAACACTGTGACTTCTATTGAAACATCCCATTGAAGCTTCTGAGAATGCTTTTGTCTAGATTTTGTATGAAGACAATCCCGTTTCCAACGAAATCCTCAAAGCTATCCAAATATCCTCTTGCAGATTTTACAAAAAGAGGATTTCAAAACTGCTCTATCAAAAGAAAGGTTCAACACTGTTAGTTGAGGGCGCACATCACAAATAAGTTTCTGAGAATGCTTCTGTCTAGTTTTCAGGAGAAGATATTTCCTTTTTCACCATAGGCCTGAAAGCGCTCCAAATGTCCACATCCAGATACTACAAAAAGAGTGTTTCAAACCTGCTCTATGAAAGTGAATGTTCAACTCTGTGATTTGAATGCAAACATCACAAAGAAGTTTCTGGGAATGCAGCTGTCTGCTTTTTATATGTAATCCCGTTTCCAACGAAATCCTCAAAGCTAGAGAAATATCCACTTCCAGATTCCACAAAAAAGTGTTTCAAAACTGCTCTCTCAAAAGAAAGGTTCAACTCTGTTAGCTGAGTAGATACATCATGAAAAAGTTTCTGACATTGCTTCTATCTAGCTTTTATTGGAAGATATTTCCTTTTTCACCGTAGTCCTGAGAGCGCTCCAAATGTCAACTTCCAGATACTACAAAAGGAGTGTTTCAAACCTGCTCTATGAAAGGGACTGTTCAACACTGTGACTTCAATTGAAACATCCCAATGAAGCTTCTGAGAATGCTTCTGTCTAGAGTTTATATGAAGACAATCCCGTTTCCAATGAAATCCTCAAAGCTATCCAAATATCCTCTTGCAGATTTTACAAAAAGAGTGTTTCAAAACTGCTCTATCAAAAGAAAGCTTCAACATTGTTAGTTGAGGGCGCACATCACAAATAAGATTCTGAGAATGCTTCTGTCTAGTTTTTAGGGGAAGATATTTCCTTTTTTACCATAGGCCTGAAAGCGCTCCAAATGTCCAAATCCAGATACTACAAAAAGAGTGTTTCAAACCTGCTCTATGAAAGGGAATGTTCAACTCTGTGACTTCAATGCAAACATCAGAAAGAAGTTTCTGGGAATGCTGCTGTCTGCTTTTTATATGTAATCCCGTTTCCATCGAAATTCTCAAAGCTAGACAAATATCCACTTGCAGATTCCACAAAAAGAGTGTTTCAAAACTGCTCTCTCAAAAGAAAGGTTCAAATCTGTTAGGTGAGTAGATACATCATGACAAATTTTCTGACATTGCTTCTATCTAGCTTTTATTGGAAGCTATTTCCTTTTTCACCGTAGTCCTGAGAACGCTCCAAATGTCCACTTCCAGATACTACAAAAAGAGTTGTTCAAACCTGCTCTATGAAAGGGACTGTTCAACACTGTGACTTCAATTGAAACATCCCAATGAAGCTTCTGAGAATGCTTCTGTCTAGAGTTTATATGAAGACAATCCCGTTTCCAACGAAATCCTCAAAGCTATCCAAATATCCTCTTGCAGATATTACAAAAAGAGTGTTTCAAAACTGCTCTACCAAAAGAAAGCTTCAACACTGTTAGTTGAGGGCGCACATCACAAATAAGTTTCTGAGAATGCTTCTGTCTAGTTTTCAGGAGAAGATATTTCCTTTTTCACCATAGGCCTGAAAGCGCTCCAAATGTCCACATCCAGATACTATAAAAAGAGTGTTTCAAACCTGCTCTCTGAAAGGGAATGTTCAACTCTGTGACTTGAATGCAAACATCACAATCAAGATTCTGGGAATGCTGCTGTCTGCTTTTTATATGTAATCCCGTTTCCAACGAAATCCTCAAAGCTAGACAAACATCCACTTGCAGATTCCACAAAAAGAGTGTTTCAAAACTGCTCTATCAAAAGAATGCTTCAACACTGTTAGTTGAGGGCGCACATCACAAATAAGTTTCTGAGAATGCTTCTGTCTAGTTTTCAGGGGAAGATATTTCCTTTTAAACCATAGGCCTGAAAGCGCTCCAAATGTCCACATCCAGATACTACAAAAAGAGTGTTTCAAACCTGCTCTATGAAAGGGACTGTTCAACACTGTGACTTCAATTGAAACATCCCAATGAAGCTTCTGAGAATGCTACTGTCTAGGGTTAATATGAAGACAATCACGTTTCCAACGAAATCCTCAAAGCTATCCAAGTATCCTCTTGCAGATTTTACAAAAAGAATGTTTCAAAACTGCTATATCAAAAGAAAACTTCAACACTGTTAGTTGAGGGCGCACATCACAAATAAGTTTCTGAGAATACTTCTGTCTAGTTTTCAGGGGAAGATATTTCCTTTTTCACCATAGGCCTGAAAGCGCTGCAAATGTCCACATCCAGATACTACAAAAAGAGTGTTTCAAACCTGCTCTATGAAAGGGAATGTTCAACTCTGTGACTTGAATGCAAACATCAAAAAGAAGTTTCTGGGAATGCTGCTGTCTGCTTTTTATATGTAATCCCGTTTCCAACGAAATCCTCAAAGCTAGACAAATATCCACTTGCAGATTCCACAAAACGAGTGTTTCAAAACTGCTCTCTCAAATGAAGGTTCAACTCTGTTAGCTGAGTAGATACATCATGAAAAAGTTTCTGACATTGCTTCTATCTAGCTTTTATTGGAAGATATTTCCTTTTTCACCGCAGTCCTGAGAGCGCTCCAAATGTCCACTTCCAGATACTACAAAAAGAGTGTTTCAAACCTGCTCTATGAAAGGGACTGTTCAACACTGTGACTTCAATTGAAACATCCCAATGAAGATTCTGAGAATGCTACTGCCTAGGGTTAATATGAAGACAATCCCGTTTCCAACCAAATCCTCAAAGCTATCCAAATATCCTCTTGCAGATTTTACAAAAAGAATGTTGCAAAACTGCTCTATCAAAAGAAAGCTTCAACACTGTTAGTTGAGGGCGCACATCACAAATAAGTTTCTGAGAATACTTCTGTCTAGTTTTCAGGGGAAGATATTTCCTTTTTCACCATAGGCCTGAAAGCGCTCCAAATGTCCACATCCAGATACTACAAAAAGAGTGTTTCAAACCTGCTCTATGAAAGGGAATGTTCAACTCTGTGACTTGAATGCAAACATCACAAAGAAGATTCTGGGAATGCTGCTGTCTGCTTTTTATATGTAATCCCGTTTCCAACGAAATCCTCAAAGCTAGACAAATATCCACTTGCAGATTCCACAAAAAGAGTGTTTCAAAACTGCTCTCTCAAAAGAAAGGTTCAACTCTGTTAGCTGAGTAGATACATCATGAAAGAGTTTCTGACATTGCTTCTATGTAGCTTTTATTGGAAGATATTTCCTTTTTCACCGTAGTCCTGAGAGCGCTCCAAATGTCCACTTCCAGATACTACAAAAAGAGTGTTTCAAACCTGTTCTATGAAAGGAACTGTTCAACACTGTGACTTCAATTGAAACATCCCAATGAAGCTTCTGAGAATGCTTCTGTCTAGAGTTTATATGAAGACAATCCCGTTTCCAACGAAATCCTCAAAGCTATCCAAATATCCTCTTGCAGATATTACAAAAAGAGTGTTTCAAAACTGCTCTATCAAAAGAAAGGTTCAACACTGTTAGTTGAGGGCGCACATCACAAATAAGTTTCTGAGAATGCTTCTGTCTAGTTTTCAGGGGAAGATATTTCCTTTTTCACCATAGGCCTGAAAGCGCTCCAAATGTCCACATCCAGATACTACAAAAAGAGTGTTTCAAACCTGCTCTATGAAAGGGAATGTTCAACTCTGTGACTTGAATGCAAACATCACAAAGAAGTTACTGGGAATGCTGCTGTCTGCTTTTTATATGTAATCCCGTTTCCAACGAAATCCTCAAAGCTAGACAAATATCCACTTGCAGATTCCACAAAAAGAGTGTTTCAAAACTGCTCTCTCAAAGGAAAGGTTCAACTCTGTTAGCTGAGTAGATACATCATGAAAAAGTTTCTGACATTGCTTCTATGTAGCTTTTAGTGGAAGATATTTCCTTTTTCACCGTAGTCCTGAGAGCGCTCCAAATGTCCACTTCCAGATACTACAAAAAGAGTGTTTCAAACCTGTTCTATGAAAGGAACTGTTCAACACTGTGACTTCAATTGAAACATCCCAATGAAGCTTCTGAGAATGCTTCTGTCTAGAGTTTATATGAAGACAATCCCGTTTCCAACGAAATCCTCAAAGCTATCCAAATATCCTCTTGCAGATATTACAAAAAGAGTGTTTCAAAACTGCTCTATCAAAAGAAAGGTTCAACACTGTTAGTTGAGGGCGCACATCACAAATAAGTTTCTGAGAATGCTTCTGTCTAGTTTTCAGGGGAAGATATTTCCTTTTTCACCATAGGCCTGAAAGCGCTCCAAATGTCCACATCCAGATACTTCAAAAAGAGTGTTTCAAACCTGCTCTATGAAAGGGAATGTTCAACTCTGTGACTTGAATGCAAACATCACAAAGAAGTTACTGGGAATGCTGCTGTCTGCTTTTTATATGTAATCCCGTTTCCAACGAAATCCTCAAAGCTAGACAAATATCCACTTGCAGATTCCACAAAAAGAGTGTTTCAAAACTGCTCTCTCAAAGGAAAGGTTCAACTCTGTTAGCTGAGTAGATACATCATGAAAAAGTTTCTGACATTGCTTCTATCTAGCTTTTATTGGAAGATATTTCCTTTTTCACCCTAGTCCTGAGAGCGCTCCAAATGTCCACTTCCAGATACTACAAAAAGAGTGTTTCAAACCTGTTCTATGAAAGGAACTGTTCAACACTGTGACTTCAATTGAAACATCCCAATGAAGCTTCTGGGAATGCTTCTGTCTAGAGTTTATATGAAGACAATCCCGTTTCCAACGAAATCCTCAAAGCTATCCAAATATCCTCTTGCAGATATTACAAAAAGAGTGTTTCAAAACTGCTCTATCAAAAGAAAGCTTCAACACTGTTAGTTGAGGGCGCACATCACAAATAAGTTTCTGAGAATGCTTCTGTCTAGTTTTCAGGGGAAGATATTTCCTTTTTCACCATAGGCCTGAAAGCGCTCCAAATGTCCACATACAGATACTACAAAAAGAGTGTTTGAAACCTGCTCTATGAAAGGGAATGTTCAACTCTGTGACTTGAATGCAAACATCACAAAGAAGATTCTGGGAATGCTGCTGTCTGCTTTTTATATGTAATCCCGTTTCCAACGAAATCCTCAAAGCTAGACAAATATCCACTTGCAGATTCCACAAAAAGAGTGTTTCAAAACTGCTCTATCAAAAGAAAGCTTCAACACTGTTAGTTGAGGGCGCACATCACAAATAAGTTTCTGAGAATGCTTCTGTCTAGTTTTCAGGGGAAGATATTTCCTTTTTCACCATAGGCCTGAAAGCGCTCCAAATGTCCACATCCAGATACTACAAAAAGAGTGTTTCAAACCTGCTCTATGAAAGGGACTGTTCAACACTGTGACTTCAATTGAAACATCCCAATGAAGCTTCTGAGAATGCTTCTGTCTAGAGTTTATATGAAGACAATCCCGTTTCCAACGAAATCCTCAAAGCTATCCAAATATCCTCTTGCAGATTTTACAAAAAGAGTGTTTCAAAACTGCTCTACCAAAAGAAAGGTTCAACACTGTTAGTTGACTACACACATCACAAATAAGTTTCTGAGAATGCTTCTGTCTAGTTTTCAGGGGAAGATATTTCCTTTTTCACCATAGGCCTGAAAGCGCTCCAAATGTCCACATCCAGATATTACAAAAAGAGTGTTTCAAACCTGCTCTGTGAAAGGGAATGTTCAACTCTGTGACTTGAATGCAAACATCACAAAGAAGTTTCTGGGAATGCTGCTGTCTGCTTTTTATATGTAATCCCGTTTCCAACGAAATCCTCAAAGCTAGACAAATATCCACTTGCAGATTCCACAAAAAGAGTTTTTCAAAACTGCTCTATCAAAAGAAAGCTTCAACACTGTTAGTTGAGGGCGCACATCACAAATAACATTCTGAGAATGCTTCTGTCTAGTTTTCAGGGGAAGATATTTCCTTTTTCACCTTAGGCCTGAAAGCGCTGTAAATGTCCACATCCAGATACTACAAAAAGAGTGTTTCAAACCTGCTCTATGAAAGGGAATGTTCAACTCTGTGACTTGAATGCAAACATCACAAAGAAGTTTCTGGGAATGCCGCTGTCTGCTTTTTATATGTAATCCCGTTTCCAACGCAATCCTCAAAGCTAGACAAATATCCACTTGCAGATTCCACAAAAAGAGGGTTTCAAAACTGCTCTCTCAAAAGAAAGGTGCAACTCTGTTAGCTGAGTAGATACATCATGAAAAATTTTCTGACATTGCTTCTATCTAGCTTTTATTGGAAGATATTTCCTTTTTCACTGTAGTCCTGAGAACGCTCCAAATGTCCACTTCCAGATACTACAAAAAGAGTGTTTCAAATCTGCTCTATGAAAGGGACTGTTCAACACTGTGACTTCAATTGAAACATCCCAATGAAGCTTCTGAGAATGATTCTGTCTAGATTCTATATGAAGACAATCCCGTTTCCAACGAAATCCTCAAAGCTATGCAAATATGCTCTTGCAGATTTTACAAAAAGAATGTTTCAAAACTGCTCTATCAAAAGAAAGGTTCAACACTGTTAGTTGAGGGCGCACATCACAAATAAGTTTCTGAGAATGCTTCTATCTAGTTTGCAGGGGAAGATATTTCCTTTTTCACCATAGGCCTGAAAGCGCTCCAAATGTCCACATCCAGATACTACAAAAAGAGTGTTTCAAACCTGCTCTATGAAAGGGAATGTTCAAGTCCGTGACTTGAATGCAAATATCACAAAGAAGTTTCTGGGAATGCTGCTGTCTGCTTTTTATATGTAATCCCGTTTCCAACGAAATCCTCAAAGCTAGACAAATATCCACTTGCAGATTCCACCAAAAGAGTGTTTCAAAACTGCTCTCTCAAAAGAAAGGTTCAACTCTGTTAGCTGACTAGATACATCATGAAAATGTTTCTGACATTGCTTCTATGTAGCTTTTATTGGAAGATATTTCCTTTTTCACCGTAGTCCTGAGAGCGCTCCAAATGTCCACTTCCAGATACTACAAAAAGAGTGTTTCAAACCTGTTCTATGAAAGGAACTGTTCAACACGGTGACTTCAATTGAAACATCCCAATGAAGCTTCTGAGAATGCTTCTGTCTAGAGTTTATATGAAGACAATCCCGTTTCCAACGAAATCCTCAAAGCTATCCAAATATCCTCTTGCAGATATTACAAAAAGAGTGTTTCAAAACTGCTCTATCAAAAGAAAGGTTCAACACTGTTAGTTGAGGGAGCACATCACAAATAAGTTTCTGAGAATGCTTCTGTCTAGTTTTCAGGGGAAGATATTTCCTTTTTCACCATAGGCCTGAAAGCGCTCCAAATGTCCACATACAGATACTACAAAAAGAGTGTTTCAAACCTGCTCTATGAAAGGGAATGTTCAACTCTGTGACTTGAATGCAAACATCACAAAGAAGTTTCTGGGAATGCTGTTGTCTGCTTTTTATATGTAATCCCGTTTCCAACGAAATCCTCAAAGCTAGACAAATATCCACTTGCAGATTCCACAAAAAGAGTGTTTCAAAACTGCTCTCTCAAAAGAAAGGTTCAACTCTGTTAGCTGAGTAGATACATCATGAAAAAGTTTCTGACATTGCTTCTATCTAGCTTTTATTGGAAGATATTTCCTTTATCACCGTATTCCTGAGATCTCTCCAAATGTCCACTTCCAGATACTACAAAAAGAGTGTTTCAAACCTGCTCTATGAAAGGGACTGTTCAACACTATGACTTCAATTGAAACATCCCACTGAAGCTTCTGAGAATGCTTCTGTCTAGAGTTTATATGAAGACAATCCGGTTTCCAATGAAATCCTCAAAGCTATCCAAATATCCTCTTGCAGATTTTACAAAAAGAGTGTTTCAAAACTGCTCTATCAAAAGAAAGCTTCAACACTGTTAGTTGAGGGTGCACATCACAAATAAGATTCTGAGAATGCTTCTGTCTAGTTTTCAGGGGAAGATATTTCCTTTTTCACCATAGGCCTGAAAGCGCTCCAAATGTCCACATCCAGATACTATAAAAAGAGTGTTTCAAACCTGCTCTATGAAAGGGAATGTTCAACTCTGTGACTTGAATGCAAACATCACAAAGAAGATTCTGGGAATGCTGCTGTCTGCTTTTTATATGTAATCCCGTTTCCAACGAAATCCTCAAAGCTAAGCAAATATCCACTTGCAGATTCCACAAAAAGAGTGTTTCAAAACTGCTCTCACAAAGGAAAGGTTCAACTCTGTTAGCTGAGTAGATACATCATGAAAAAGTTTCTGACATTGCTTCTATGTAGCTTTTATTGGAAGATATTTCCATTTTCACCGTAGTCCTGAGAGCGCTCCAAATGTCCACTTCCAGATACTACAAAAAGAGTGTTTCAAACCTGTTCTATGAAAGGAACTGTTCAACACTGTGACTTCAATTGAAACATCCCAATGAAGCTTCTGAGAATGCTTCTGTCTAGAGTTTATATGAAGACAATCCCGTTTCCAACGAAATCCTCAAAGCTATCCAAATATCCTCTTGCAGATATTACAAAAAGAGTGTTTCAAAACTGCTCTATCAAAAGAAAGGTTCAACACTGTTAGTTGAGGGCGCACATCACAAATAAGTTTCTGAGAATGCTTCTGTCTAGTTTTCTGGGGAAGATATTTCCTTTTTCACCATAGGCCTGAAAGCGCTCCAAATGTCCACATCCAGATACTACAAAAAGAGTGTTTCAAACCTGCTGCTATGAAAGGGAATGTTCAACTCTGTGACTTGAATGCAAACATCACAAAGAAGTTACTGGGAATGCTGCTGTCTGCTTTTTATATATAATCCCGTTTCCAACGAAATCCTCAAAGCTAGACAAATATCCACTTGCAGATTCCACAAAAAGAGTGTTTCAAAACTGCTCTCTCAAAGGAAGGTTCAACTCTGTTAGCTGAGTAGATACATCATGAAAAATTTCTGACATTGCTTCTATCTAGCTTTTATTGGAAGATATTTCCTTTTTCACCGCAGTCCTGAGAGCGCTCCAAATGTCCACTTCCAGATACTACAAAAAGAGTGTTTCAAACCTGCTCTATGAAAGGGACTGTTCAACACTGTGACTTCAATTGAAACATCCCAATGAAGCTTCTGAGAATGCTACTGTCTAGGGTTAATATGAAGACAATCCCGTTTCCAACGAAATCCTCAAAGCTATCCAAATATCCTCTTGCAGATTTTACAAAAAGAATGTTTCAAAACTGCTCTATCAAAAGAAAGCTTCAATACTGTTAGTTGAGGGCACACATCACAAATAAGTTTCTGAGCATACTTCTGTCTATTTTTCAGGGGAAGATATTTCCTTTTTCACCTTAGGTCTGAAAGCGCTGCAAATGTCCACATCCAGATACTACAAAAAGAGTGTTTCAAACCTGCTCTATGAAAGGGAATGTTCAACTCTGTAACTTGAATGCAAACATCACAAAGAAGTTTCTGGGAATGCTGCTGTCTGCTTTTTATATGTAATCCCATTTCCAACGAAATCCTCAAAGCTAGACAAATATCCACTTGCAGATTCCACAAAAAGAGTGTTTCAAAACTGCTCTCTCAAAGGAAGGTTCAACTCTGTTAGCTGAGTAGATACATCATGAAAAAGTTTCTGACATTGCTTCTATCTAGCTTTTATTGGAAGATATTTCCTTTATCACCGTATTCCTGAGATCTCTCCAAATGTCCACTTCCAGATACTACAAAAAGAGTGTTTCAAACCTGCTCTATGAAAGGGACTGTTCAACACTGTGACTTCAACTGAAACATGCCAATGAAGCTTCTGAGAATGCTTCTGTCTAGATTTTATATGAAGACAATCCCAACGAAATCCTCAAAGCTATCCCAATATCCTCTTGCAGATTTTACAAAAAGAGTGTTTCAAAACTGCTCTATCAAAAGAAAGGTTCAACACTGTTAGTTGAGGTCGCACATCACAAATAAGTTTCTGAGAATGCTTCTGTCTAGTTTTCAGGGGAAGATATTTCCTTTTTCACCTTAGGCCTGAAAGCGCTGTAAATGTCCACATCCAGATACTACAAAAAGAGTGTTTCAAACCTGCTCTATGAAAGGGAATGTTGAACTCTGTGACTTGAATGCAAACATCACAAAGAAGTTTCTGGGAATGCTGCTGTCTGCTTTTTATATGTAATCCCGTTTCCAACGAAATCCTCAAAACTAGACAAATATCCACTTGCAGATTCCACAAAAAGAGTGTTTCAAAACTGCTCTCTCAAAGGAAGGTTCAACTCTGTTAGCTGAGTGGATACATCATGAAAAAGTTTCTGACATTGCTTCTGTCTAGTTTTCAGGGGAAGATATTTCCTTTTTCACCATAGGCCTGAAAGCGCTCCAAATGTCCACATCCAGATACTACAAAAAGAGTGTTTCAAACCTGCTCTATGAAAGGGACTGTTCAACACTGTGACTTCAATTGAAACATCCCAATGAAGCTTCTGAGAATGCTTCTGTCTAGAGTTTATATGAAGACAATCCCGTTTCCAACGAAATCTTCAAAGCTATCCAAATATCCTCTTGCAGATTTTACAAAAAGAGTGTTTCAAAACTGCTCTATCAAAAGAAAGGTTCAACACTCTTAGTTGAGGGCACACATCACAAATAAGATTCTGAGAATGCTTCTGTCTAGTTTTCAGGGGAAGATATTTCCGTTTTCACCATAGGCCTGAAAGCGCTCCAAATGTCCACATCCAGATACTACAAAAAGAGTGTTTCAAACCTGCTCTATGAAAGGGAATGTTCAACTCTGTGACTTGAATGCAAATATCACAAAGAAGTTTCTGGGAATGCTGCTGTCTGCTTTTTATATGTAATCCCGTTTCCAACGAAATCCTCAAAGCTAGACAAATATCCACTTGCAGATTCCACAAAAAGAGTGTTTCAAAACTGCTCTCTCAAAGGAAGGTTCAACTCTGTTAGCTGAGTAGACACATCATGAAAAAGATTCTGACATTGCTTCTATGTAGCTTTTATTGGAAGATATTTCCTTTTTCACCGTAGTCCTGAGAGCGCTCCAAATGTCCACTTCCAGATACTACAAAAAGAGTGTTTCAAACCTGCTCTATGAAAGGGACTGTTCAACACTGTGACTTCAATTGAAACATCCCAATGAAGCTTCTGAGAATGCTTCTGTCTAAAGTTTATATGAAGACAATACCGTTTCCAACGAAATCCTCAAAGCTATCCAAATATCCTCTTGCAGATATTACAAAAAGAGTGTTTCAAAACTGCTCTATCAAAAGAAAGCTTCAACACTGTTAGTTGAGGGCGCACATCACAAATAAGTTTCTGAGAATGCTTCTGTCTAGTTTTCAGGGGAAGATATTTCCTTTTTCACCTTAGGGCTGAAAGCGCTGCAAATGTCCACATCCAGATACTACAAAAAGAGTGTTTCAAACCTGCTCTATGAAAGGGAATGTTCAACTCTGTGACTTGAATGCAAACATCACAAAGAAGTTTCTGGGAATGCTGCTCTCTGCTTTTTATATGTAATCCCATTTCCAGCGCAATCCTCAAAGCTAGACAAGTATCCACTTGCAAATTCCACAAAAAGAGTGTTTCAAAACGGCTCTCTCAAAAGAAAGGTTCAACTCTTTTAGTTGAGTAGATACATCATGAAAAAGTTTCTGACATTGCTTCTCTCTACCTTTTATTGGAAGATATTTCCTTTTTCACCGTAGTCCTGAGAGCGCTCCAAATGTCCACTTCCAGATACTACAAAAAGAGTGTTTCAAACCTGCTCTATGAAAGGGACTGTTCAACACTGTGACTTCAATTGAAACATCCCAATGAAGCTTCTGAGAATGCTTCTGTCTAGATTTTATATGAAGACAATCCCGTTTCCAACGAAATCCTCAAAGCTATCCAAATATCCTCTTGCAGATTTTACAAAAAGAGTGTTTCAAAACTACTCTATCAAAAGAAAGGTTTAACACTGTTAGTTGAGGGCGCACATCACAAATAAGTTTCTGAGAATGCTTCTGTCTAGTTTTCAGGGGAAGATATTTCCTTTTACACCATAGGCCTGAAAGCGCTCCAAATGTCCACATTCAGATACTACAAAAAGAGTGTTTCAAACCTGCTCTATGAAAGGGAATGTTCAACTCTGTGACTTGAATGCAAACATCACAAAGAAGTTTCTGGGAATGCTGCTGTCTGCTTTTTATATGTAATCACGTTTCCAACGAAATCCTCAAAGCTAGACAAATATCCACTTGCAGATTCCACAAAAAGAGTTTTTCAAAACTGCTCTATGAAAAGAAAGCTTCAACACTGTTAGCTGAGGGCGCACATCACAAATAAGTTTCTGAGAATGCTTCTGTCTAGTTTTCAGAGGAAGATATTTCCTTTTTCACCATAGGCCTGAAAGCGCTCCAAATGTCCACATCCAGATACTACAAAAAGAGTGTTTCAAACCTGCTCTATGAAAGGGACTGTTCAACACTGTGACTTCAATTGAAACATCCCAATGAGGCTTCTGTGAATGCTTCTGTCTAGAGTTTATATGAAGACAATCCCGTTTCCAACGAAATCCTCAAAGCTATACAAATATCCTCTTGCAGATTTTACAAAAAGAGTGTTTCAAAACTGCTCTATCAAAAGAAAGCTTCAACACTGTTAGTTGAGTGCGCACATCACAAATAAGATTCTGAGAATGCTTCTGTCTAGTTTTCAGAGGAAGATATTTCCTTTTTCACCATAGGCCTGAAAGCGCTCCAAATGTCCACATACAGATACTACAAAAAGAGTGTTTCAAACCTGCTCTATGAAAGGGAATGTTAAACTCTGTGACTTGAATGCAAACATCACAAAGAAGTTTCTGGGAATGCTGCTCTCTGCTTTTTATATGTAATCCCGTTTCCAATGAAATCCTCAAAGCTAGACAAATATCCACTTGCAGATTCCACAAAAAGAGTGTTTCAAAACTGCTCTCTCAAAAGAAAGGTTCAACTCTGTTAGCTGAGTAGATACTTCACGAAAAAGTTTCTGACATTGCTTCTATGTAGCTTTTATTGGAAGATACTTCCTTTTTCACCGCAGTCCTGAGAGCACTCCAAATGTCCACTTCCAGATACTACAAAAAGAGTGTTTCAAACCTGCTCTATGAAAGGGACTGTCCAACACTGTGACTTCAACTGAATCATCCCAATGAAGCTTCTGAGAATGCTTCTGTCTAGATTTTATATGAAGACAATCCCGTTTCCAACGAAATCCTCAAAGCTATCCAAATATCCTCTTGCAGATTTTACAAAAAGAGTGTTTCAAAACTGCTCTATCAATGGAAAGGTTTAACACTGTTAGTTGAGGGAGCACATCACAAATAAGTTTCTGAGAATGCTTCTGTCTAGTTTTCAGGGGAAGATATTTCCTTTTAAACCATAGGCCTGAAAGCGCTCCAAATGTCCACATCCAGATACTACAAAAAGAGTGTTTCAAACCTGCTCTATGAAAGGGAATGTTCAACTCTGTGACTTGAATGCAAACTTCACAAAGAAGTTTCTGGGAATGCTGCTGTCTGCTTTTTATATGTAATCCCGTTTCCAACGAAATCCTCAAAGCTAGACAAATATCCACTTGCAGATTCCACAAAAAGAGTGTTTCAAAACTGCTCTCTCAAAGAAAAGGTTCAACTCTGTTAGCTGAGTAGATACATCATGAAAAAGTTTCTGACATTGCTTCTATGTAGCTTTTATTGGAAGATATTTCCATTTTCACCGTAGTCCTGAGAGCGCTCCAAATGTCCACTTCCAGATACTACAAAAAGAGTGTTTCAAACCTGTTCTATGAAAGGAACTGTTCAACACTGTGACTTCAATTGAAACATCCCAATGAAGCTTCTGAGAATGCTTCTGCCTAGAGTTTATATGAAGACAATCCCGTTTCCAACGAAATCCTCAAAGCTATCCAAATATCCTCTTGCAGATATTACAAAAAGAGTGTTTCAAAACTGCTCTATCAAAAGAAAGCTTCAACACTGTTAGTTGAGGGCGCACATCACAAATAAGTTTCTGAGAATGCTTCTGTCTAGTTTTCAGGGGAAGATATTTCCTTTTTCACCATAGGCCTAAAAGCGCTCCAAATGTCCACATCCAGATACTACAAAAAGAGTGTTTCAAACCTACTCTATGAAAGGGAATGTTCAAGTCTGTGACTTGAATGCAAATTTCACAAAGAACTTTCTGGGAATGCTGCTGTCTGCTTTTTATATGTAATCCCGTTTCCAACGAATTCCTCAAAGCTAGACAAATATCCACTTGCAGATTACCCAAAAAGAGTGTTTCAAAACTGCTCTCTCAAAAGAAAGGTTCAACTCTGTTAGCTGAGTAGATACATCATGAAAAAGTTTCTGACATTGCTTCTATCTAGCTTTTATTGGAAGATATTTCGTTTTTCACCGTAGTCCTGAGAGCACTCCAAATGTCCACTTCCAGATACTACAAAAAGAGTGTTTCAAACCTGCTCTATGAAAGGGACTGTTCAACACTGTGACTTCAATTGAAACATCCCAATGAAGCTTCTGAGAATGCTTCTGTCTAGAGTTTATATGAAGACAATCCCGTTTCCAACGAAATCCTCAAAGCTATCCAAATATCCTCTTGCAGATATTACAAAAAGAGTGTTTCAAAACTGCTCTATCAAAAGAAAGGTTCAACACTGTTAGTTGAGGGCGCACATCACAAATAAGTTTCTGAGAATGCTTCTGTATAGTTTTCAGGGGAAGATATTTCCTTTTTCACCATAGGCCTGAAAGCGCTCCAAACGTCCACATCCAGATACTACAAAAAGAGTGTTTCAAACCTGCTCTATGAAAGGGAATGTTCAACTCTGTGACTTGAATGCAAATTTCACAAAGAAGTTTCTGGGAATGCTGCTGTCTGCTTTTTATATGTAATCCCGTTTCCAACGAAATCCTCAAAGCTAGACAAATATCCACTTGCAGGTTCCACAAAAATAGTGTTTCAAAACTGCTCTCACAAAAGAAAGGTTTAACTCTTTTAGCTGAGTAGATACATCATGAAAAACTTTCTGACATTGCTTCTATCTAGCTTTTATTGGAAGATATTTCCTTTTTCACCGCAGTCCTGAGGGCGCTCCAAATGTCCACTTCCAGATACTACAAAAAGAGTGTTTCAAACCTGCCCTATGAAAGGGACTGTTCAACACTGTGACTTCAATTGAAACATCCCAATGAAGCTTCTGAGAATGCTTCTGTCTAGAGTTTTTATGAAGACAATCCCGTTTCCAACGAAATCCTCAAAGCTATCCAAATATCCTCTTGCAGATTTTACAAAAAGAGTGTTTCAAAACTGCTCTATCAAAACAAAGCTTCAACACTGTTAGTTGAGGGCGCACATCACAAATAAGTTTCTGAGAATGCTTCTGTCTAGTTTTCAGGGGAAGATATTTCCTTTTTCACCATAGGCCTGAAAGCGCTCCAAATGTCCACATCCAGATACTTCAAAAAGAGTGTTTCAAACCTGCTCTATGAAAGGGAATGTTCAACTCTCTGACTTGAATGCAAACATCACAAAGAAGTTACTGGGAATGCTGCTGTCTGCTTTTTATATGTAATCCCGTTTCCAACGAAATCCTCAAAGCTAGACAAATATCAACTTGCAGATTCCACAAAAAGAGTGTTTCAAAACTGCTCTATCAAAAGAATGCTTCAACACTGTTAGTTGAGGGCGCACATCACAAATAAGTTTCTGAGAATGCTTCTGTCTAGTTTTCAGGGGAAGATATTTCCTTTTTCACCATAGGCCTGAAAGCGCTCGAAATGTCCACATCCAGATACTACAAAAAGAGTGTTTCAAACCTGCTCTATGAAAGGGACTGTTCAACACTGTGACTTCAATTGAAACATCCCAATGAAGCTTCTGAGAATGCTTCTGTCTAGAGTTTATATGAAGACAATCCAGTTTCCAAATAAATCCTCAAAGCTATCCAAATATCCTCTTGCAGATTTTACAAAAAGAGTGTTTCAAAACTGCTCTATCAAAAGAAAGCTTCAACACTGTTAGTTGAGGGCGCACATCACAAATAAGTTTCTGAGAATGCTTCTGTCTAGTTTTCAGGGGAAGATATTTCCTTTTTCACAATAGGCCTGAAAGCGCTCCAAATGTCCACATCCAGATACTACAAAAAGAGTGTTTCAAACCTGCTCTATGAAAGGGAATGTTCAACTCTGTGACTTGAATGCAAACATCACAAAGAAGTTACTGGGAATGCTGCTGTCTGCTTTTTATATGTAATCCCGTTTCCAACGAAATCCTCAAAGCTAGACAAATATCCACTTCCAGATTCCACAAAAAGAGTGTTTCAAAACTGCTCTCTCAAAAGAAAGGTTCAACTCTGTTAGCTGAGTAGATACATCATGAAAAAGTTTCTGACATTGCTTCTGTCTAGTTTTCAGAGGAAGATATTTCCTTTTTCACCAGAGGCCTGAAAGCGCTCCAAATGTCCACATCCAGATACTACAAAAAGAGTGTTTCAAACCTGCTCTATGAAAGGGAATGTTCAACTCTGGGACTTGAATGCAAACATCACAAAGAAGTTTTTGGGAATGCTGCTGTCTGCTTTTTATATGTAATCCCGTTTCCAACGAAATCCTCAAATCTAGACAAATATCCACTTGCAGATTCCACAAAAAGAGTGTTTCAAAACTGCTCTCTCAAAAGAAAGGTTCAACTCTGTTAGCTGAGTAGATACGTCATGAAAAAGTTTCTGACATTGCTTCTATCTAGCTTTTATTGGAAGATATTTCCTTTTTCACCGCAGTCCTGAGAGCGTTCCAAATGTCCACTTCCAGATACTACAAAAAGAGTGTTTCAAACCTGCTCTATGAAAGGGACTGTTCAACACTGTGACTTCAATTGAAACATCCCAATGAAGCTTCTGAGAATGCTTCTGTCTAGAGTTTATATGAAGACAATCCCGTTTCCAATGAAATCCTCAAAGCTATCGAAATATCCTCTTGCAGATTTTACAAAAAGAGTGTTTCAAAACTGCTCTATCAAAAGAAAGCTTCAACACTGTTAGTTGAGGGCGCACATCACAAATAAGATTCTGAGAATTCTTCTGTCTAGTTTTCAGGGGAAGATATTTCCTTTTTCACCATAGGCCTGAAAGCGCTCCAAATGTCCACATCCAGATACTACAAAAAGAGTGTTTCAAACCTGCTCTCTGAAAGGGAATGTTCAACTCTGTGACTTGAATGCAAACATCACAAAGAAGTTTCTGGGAATGCTGCTGTCTGCTTTTTATATGTAATCCCGTTTCCAACGAAATCCTCAAAGCTAGACAAATATCCACTTGCAGATTCCACAAAAAGAGTGTTTCAAAACTGCTCTATCAAAAGAAAGCTTCAACACTGTTAGTTGAGGGCGCACATCACAAATAAGTTTCTGAGAATGCTTCTGTCTAGTTTTCAGGGGAAGATATTTCCTTTTTCACCATAGGCCTGAAAGCGCTCCAAATGTCCACATCCAGATACTACAAAAAGAGTGTTTCAAACCTGCTCTATGAAAGGGACTGTTCAACACTGTGACTTCAATTGAAACATCCCAATGAAGCTTCTGAGAATGCTACAGTCTAGAGTTTATATGAAGACAATCCCGTTTCCAACGAAATCCTCAAAGCTATCCAAATATCCTCTTGCAGGTTTACAAAAAGAGTGTTTCAAAACTACTCTATCAAAAGAAAGGTTCAACACTGTTAGTTGAGGGCGCACATCACAAATAAGTTTCTGAGAATGCTTCTGTCTAGTTTTCAGGGAAAGATATTTCCTTTTTCACCATAGGCCTGAAAGGGCTCCAAATGTGCACATCCAGATACTACAAAAAGAGTGTTTCAAACCTGCTCTATGAAAGGGAATGTTCAACTCTGTGACTTGAATGCAAACATCACAAAGAAGTTTCTGGGAATGCTGCTTTCTGCTTTTTATATTTAATCCCGTTTCCAACGAAATCCTGAAAGCTAGACAAATATCCACTTGCAGATTCCACAAAAAGAGTGTTTCAAAACTGCTCTATCAAAAGAATGCTACAACACTGTTTGTTGAGTGCGCACATCACAAATAAGTTTCTGAGAATGCTTCTGTCTAGTTTTCAGGGGAAGATATTTCCTTTTAAACCATAGGCCTGAAAGCGCTCCAAATGTCCACATCCAGATATTACAAAAAGAGTGTTTCAAACCTGCTCTATGAAAGGGACTGTTCAACACTGTGACTTCAATTGAAACATCCCAATGAAGCTTCTGAGAATGCTATTGTCTAGAGTTTATATGAAGACAATCCCGTTTCCAACGAAATACTCAAAGCTATCCAAATATCCTCTTGCAGATTTTACAAAAAGAATGTTTCAAAACTGCTCTGTCAAAAGAAAGCTTCAACACTGTTAGTTGACGGCGCACATCACAAATAAGTTTCTGAGAATGCTTCTGTCTAGTTTTCAGGGGAAGATATTTCCTTTTTCACCATAGGCCTGAGAGCGCTCCAAATGTCCACATCCAGATACTACAAAAAGAGTGTTTCAAACCTGCTCTATGAAAGGGAATGTTCAACTCTGTGACTTGAATGCAAACATCACAAAGAAGTTTCTGGGAATGCTGCTGTCTGCTTTTTATATGTAATCCCGTTTCCAACGAAATCCTCAAAGCTAGACAAATATCCACCTGCAGATCCAACAAAAAGACTGTTTCAAAACTGCTCTCACAAAAGAAAGGTTCAACTCTGTTAGCTGAGTAGATACATCATGAAAAAGTTTCTGACATTGCTTCTATCTAGCTTTTATTGGAAGATATTTCCTTTTTCACCATAGTCCTGAGAACGCTCCAAATGTCCACTTCCAGATATTACAAAAAGAGTGTTTCAAACCTGCTCTACGAAAGGGACTGTTCAACACTGTGACTTCAATTGAAACATCCCAATGAAGCTTCTGAGAATGCTTCTGTCTAGATTGTATATGAAGACAATCCCGTTTCCAACGAAATCCTCAAAGCTATCCAAATATCCTCTTGCAGATTTTACAAAAAGAGTGTTTCAAAACTGCTCTATCAAAAGAAAGCTTCAACACTGTTAGTTGAGGGCGCACATCACAAATAAGTTTCTGAGAATGCTTCTGTCTAGTTTTCAGGGGAAGATATTTCCTTTTTCACCATAGGCCTGAAAGCGCTCCAAATGTCCACATCCAGATACTACAAAAAGAGTGTTTCAAACCTGCTCTATGAAAGGGAATGTTCAACTCTGTGACTTGAATGCAAACGTCACAAAGAAGTTTCTGGGAATGCTGCTGTCTGCTTTTTATATGTAATCCCCTTTCCAACGAAATCCTCAAAGCTAGACAAATATCCACTTGCAGATTCCACAAAAAGAGTGTTTCAAAACTGCTCTCTCAAAGGAAAGTTTCAACTCTGTTAGCTGAGTAGATACGTCATGAAAAAGTTTCTGACATTGCTTCTATCTAGCTTTTATTGGAAGATATTTCCTTTTTCACCGTAGTCCTGAGAGCGCTCCAAATGTCCATTTCCAGATACTACAAAAAGAGTGTTTCAAACCTGCTCTATGAAATGCAATGTTCAACTCTGTGACATCAATTGAAACATCCCAATGAAGCTTCTGAGAATGCTTCTGTCTAGATTGTATATGAAGACAATCCCGTTTCCAACGAAATCCTCAAAGCTAACCAAATAACCTCTTGCAGATTTTACAAAAAGAGTGTTTCAAAACTGCTCTATCAAAAGAAAGGTTCAACACTCTTAGTTGAGGGTGCACATCACAAATAAGATTCTGAGAATGCTTCTGTCTACTTTTCAGGGGAAGATATTTCCTTTTTCACCATAGGCCTGAAAGCGCTCCAAATGTCCACATCCAGATACTACAAAAAGAGTGTTTCAAACCTGCTCTATGAAAGGGAATGATCAACTCTGTGACTTGAATGCAAACATCACAAAGAAGTTTCTGGGAATGCTGCTGTCTGCTTTTTATATGCAATCCCGTTTCCAACGAAATCCTCAAAGCTATCCAAATATCCTCTTGCAGATATTACAAAAAGAGTGTTTCAAAACAGCTCTATCAAAAGAAAGGTTCAACACTGTTAGTTGAGGGCGCACATCACAAATAAGTTTCTGAGAATGCCTCTGTCTAGTTTTCAGGGGAAGATATTTCCTTTTTCACCATAGGTCTGAAAGCGCTCCAAATGTCCACATCCAGATACTACAAAAAGAGTGTTTCAAACCTGCTCTATGAAAGGGAATGTTCAACTCTGTGACTTGAATGCAAACATCACAAAGAAGTTTCTGGGAATGCTGCTGTCTGCTTTTTATATGTAATCCCGTTTCCAACGAAATCCTCAATGCTAGACAAATATCCACTTGCAGATTCCACAAAAAGAGTGTTTCAAAACTGCTCTCTCAAAAGAAAGGTTCAACTCTGTTAGCTGAGTAGATACATCATGAAAAAGTTTCTGACATTGCTTCTATCTAGCTTTTATTGGAAGATATTTCCTTTATCACCGTATTCCTGAGATCTCTCCAAATGTCCACTTCCAGATACTACAAAAAGATTGTTTCAAACCTGCTCTATGAAAGGGACTGTTCAACACTGTGACTTCAATTGAAACATCCCAATGAAGCTTCTGAGAATGCTTCTGTCTAGATTTTATATGAAGACAATCCCGTTTCCAACGAAATCCTCAAAGCTATCCAAATATCCTCTTGCAGATTTTACAAAAAGAGTGTTTCAAAACTGCTCTATGAAAAGAAAGCTTCAACACTGTTAGTTGAGGGCGCACCATCACAAATAAGTTTCTGAGAATGCTTCTGTCTAGTTTTCAGGAGAAGATATTTCCTTTTTCACCATAGGCCTGAAAGCGCTCCAAATGTCCACATCCAGATACTATAAAAAGAGTGTTTCAAACCTGCTCTCTGAAAGGGAATGTTCAACTCTGTCACTTGAATGCAAACATCACAAACAAGATTCTGGGAATGCTGCTGTCTGCTTTTTATAATTAATCCCGTTTCCAACGAAATCCTCAAAGCTATCCAAATATCCTCTTGCAGATATTACAAAAAGAGTGTTTCAAAACTGCTCTATCAAAAGAAAGCTTCAACACTGTTAGTTGAGGGCGCACATCACAAATAAGTTTCTGAGAATGCTTCTGTCTAGTTTTCAGGGGAAGATATTTCCTTTTTCACCATAGGCCTGAAAGCGCTCCAAATGTCCACATCCAGATACTACAAAAAGAGTGTTTCAAACCTGCTCTATGAAAGGGAATGTTCAACTCTGTGAGTTGAATGCAAACATCACAAAGAAGTTTCTGGGAATGCTGCTGTCTGCTTTTCATATGTAATCCCGTTTCCAACGAAATCCTCAAAGCTAGACAAATATCCACTTGCAGATTCCACAAAAAGAGTGTTTCAAAACTGCTCTATCAAAAGAATGCTTCAACACTGTGAGTTGAGGGCGCACATCACAAATAAGTTTCTGAGAATGCTTCTGTCTAGTTTTCAGGGGAAGATATTTCCTTTTAAACCATAGGCCTGAAAGCGCTCCAAATGTCCACATCCAGATACTACAAAAAGAGTGTTTGAAACCTGCTTTATGAAAGGGACTGTTCAACACTGTGACTTCAATTGAAACATCCCAATGAAGCTTCTGAGAATGCTTCTGTCTAGGGTTTATATGAAGACAATCCCGTTTCCAACGAAATCCTCAAAGCTATCCAAATATCCTCTTGCAGATATTACAAAAAGAGTGTTTCAAAACTGCTCTATCAAAAGAAAGCTTCAACACTGTTAGTTGAGGGCGCACATCACAAATAAGTTTCTGAGAATGCTTCTGTCTAGTTTTCAGGGGAAGATATTTCCTTTTTCACCATAGGCCTGAAAGCGCTCCAAATGTCCACATCCAGATACTACAAAAAGAGTGTTTCCAACCTGCTCTATGAAAGGGAATGTTCAACTCTGTGACTTGAATGCAAACATCACAAAGAAGTTTCTGGGAATGCTGCTGTCTGCTTTTTATATGTAATCCCGTTTCCAACGCAATCCTCAAAGCTAGACAAATATCCACTTGCAGATTCCACCAAAAGAGTGTTTCAAAACTGCTCTCTCAAAAGAAAGGTTCAACTCTGTTAGCTGAGTAGATAGATCATTAAAAAGTTTCTGACTTTGCTTCTATCTAGCTTTTATTGGAAGATATTTCCTTTTTCACCGTAGTCCTGAGAGCGCTCCAAATGTCCACTTCCAGATACTACAAAAAGAGTGTTTCAAACCTGCTCTATGAAAGGGAATGTTCAACTCTGTGACTTGAATGCAAACATCACAAAGAAGTTTCTGGGAATGCTGCTGTCTGCTTTTTATATGTAATCCCGTTTCAAACGCAATCCTCAAACCTAGACAAATATCCACTTGCAGATTCCACAAAAAGAGTGTTTCAAAACTGCTCTCTCAAAAGAAAGGTTCAACTCTGTTAGCTGAGTAGATACATCATGAAAAATTTTCTGACATTGCTTCTATCTAGCTTTTACTGGAAGATATTTCCTTTTCCACTGTAGTCCTGAGAACGCTCCAAATGTCCACCTCCAGATACTACAAAAAGAGTGTTTCAAACCTGCTCTATGAAAGGGACTGTTCAACACTGTGACTTCAATTGAAACATCCCAATGAAGCTTCTGAGAATGCTTCTGTCTAGATTCTATATGAAGACAATCCCGTTTCCAACGAAATCCTCAAAGCTATCCAAATATCCTCTTGCAGATTTTACAAAAAGAGTGTTTCAAAACTGCTCTATCAAAAGAAAGCTTCAACACCGTTAGTTGAGGGCGCACATCACAAATAAGTTTCTGAGAATGCTTCTGTCTAGTTTTCAGGGGAAGATATTTCCTTTTTCACCATAGGCCTGAGAGCGCTCCAAATGTCCACATCCAGATACTACAAAAAGAGTGTTTCAAACCTGCTCTATGAAAGGGAATGTTCAACTCTGTGACTTGAATGCAAACATCACAAAGAAGTTTCTTTGAATGCTGCTGTCTGCTTTTTATATGTAATCCCGTTTCCAACAAAATCCTCAAAGCTAGACAAATATCCACCTGCCGATCCAACAAAAAGAGTGTTTCAAAACTGCTCTCTGAAAAAAAAGGTTCAACTCTGTTAGCTGAGTAGATACATCATGAAAAAGTTTCTGACATTGCTTCTATCTAGCTTTATTTGGAAGATATTTCCTTTTTCACCGTAGTCCTGAGAGCGCTCCAAATGTCCACTTCCAGATACTACAAAAAGAGTGTTTCAAACCTGCTCTATGAAAGGGACTGTTCAACACTGTGACTTCAATTGAAACATCCCAATGAAGCTTCTGAGAATGCTTCTGTCTAGATTTTATATGAAGACAATCCCGT
The DNA here is from genome assembly GCF_000001405.40 of Homo sapiens. Classification (NCBI taxonomy): domain Eukaryota; kingdom Metazoa; phylum Chordata; class Mammalia; order Primates; family Hominidae; genus Homo; species Homo sapiens. Next base: position 92,216,660 of record NC_000002.12, on the reverse strand, counting down.
TTCCAACGAAATCCTCAAAGCTATCCAAATATCCTCTTGCAGATTTTACAAAAAGAGTGTTTCAAAACTGCTCTATCAAAAGAAAGCTTCAACACTGTTAGTTGAGGGCGCACATCACAAATAAGATTCTGAGAATGCTTCTGTCTAGTTTTCAGGGGAAGATATTTCCTTTTTCACCATAGGCCTGAAAGCGCTCCAAATGTCCACATCCAGATACTACAAAAAGAGTGTTTCAAACCCGCTCTATGGAAGGGAATGTTCAAGTCTGTGACTTGAATGCAAATATCACAAAGAAGTTTCTGGGAATGCTGCTGTCTGCTTTTTATATGTAATCCCGTTTCAAACGAAATCCTCAAAGCTAGACAAATATCCACTTGCAGATTCCACAAAAAGAGTGTTTCAAAACTGCTCTCTCAAAGGAAAGGTTCAACTCTGTTAGCTGAGTAGATACATCATGAAAAAGTTTCTGACATTGCTTCTATCTAGCTTTTATTGGAAGATATTTCCTTTTTCACTGTAGTCCTGAGAACGCTCCAAATGTCCACTTCCAGATACTACAAAATGAGTGTTTCAAACCTGCTCTATGAAAGGGACTGTTCAACACTGTGACTTCAATTGAAACATCCCAATGAAGCTTCTGAGAATGCTTCTTTCTAGAGTTTATATGAAGACAATCCCGTTTCCAACGAAATCCTCAAAGCTATCCAAATATTCTCTTGCAGATATTACAAAAAGAGTGTTTCAAAACTGCTCTATCAAAATAAAGCTTCAACACTGTTAGTTGAGGGCGCACATCACAAATAAGTTTCTGAGAATGCTGCTGTCTGCTTTTTATATGTAATCCCGTTTCCAACGAAATCCTCAAAGCTAGACAAATATCCACTTGCAGATTCCACAAAAAGAGTGTTTCAAAACTGCTCTATCAAAAGAATGCTTCAACACTGTTAGTTGAAGGCGCACATCACAAATAAGTTTCTGAGAATGCTTTCTGTCTAGTTTTCAGGGGAAGATATTTCCTTTTAAACCATAGGCCTGAAAGCGCTCCAAATGTCCACATCCAGATACTACAAAAAGAGTGTTTCAAACCTGCTCTATGAGAGGGACTGTTCAACACTGTGACTTCAATTGAAACATCCCAATGAAGCTTCTGAGAATGCTTCTGTCTAGAGTTTATATGAAGACAATCCCGTTTCCAACGAAATCCTCAAAGCTATCCAAATATCCTCTTGCAGATTTTACAAAAAGAGTGTTTCAAAACTGCTCTATCAAAAGAAAGCTTCAACACTGTTAGTTGAGGGCGCACATCACAAATAAGATTCTGAGAATTCTTCTGTCTAGTTTTCAGGGGAAGATATTTCCTTTTTCACAATAGGCCTGAAAGCGCTCCAAATGTCCACATCCAGATACTACAAAAAGAGTGTTTCAAACCTGCTCTATGAAAGGGAATGTTCAACTCTGTGACTTGAATGCAAACATCACAAAGAAGTTACTGGGAATGCTGCTGTCTGCTTTTTATATGTAATCCCGTTTCCAACGAAATCCTCAAAGCTAGACAAATATCCACTTTCAGATTACACAAAAAGAGTGTTTCAAAACTGCTCTCTCAAAAGAAAGGTTCAACTCTGTTAGCTGAGTAGATACATCATGAAAAAGTTTCTGACATTGCTTCTATCTAGCTTTTATTGGAAGATATTTCCTTTTTCACCGCAGTCCTGAGAGCGCTCCAAATGTCCACTTCCAGATACTACAAAAAGAGTGTTTCAAACCTGCTCTATGAAAGGGACTGTTCAACACTGTGACTTCAATTGAAACATCCCAATGAAGCTTCTGAGAATGCTTCTGTCTAGATTTTATATGAAGTACAATCCCGTTTCCAACGAAATCGTCAAAGCTATGCAAATATCGTCTTGCAGATTTTACAAAAAGTGTGTTTCAAAACTGCTCTATCAAAAGAAAGGTTCAACACTGTTAGTTGAGGGCGCACATCACAAATAAGTTTCTGAGAATGCTTCTGTCTAGTTTTCAGGGGAAGATATTTCCTTTTTCACCGTAGGCCTGAAAGCGCTCCAAATGTCCACATCCAGATACTACAAAAAGAGTGTTTCAAACTTGCTCTATGAAAGGGAATGTTCAACTCTGTGACTTGAATGCAAACATCACAAAGAAGTTACTGGGAATGCTGCTGTCTGCTTTTTATATGTAATCCCGTTTCCAACGAAATCCTCAAAGCTAGACAAATATCCACTTTCAGATTACACAAAAAGAGTGTTTCAAAACTGCTCTCTCAAAAGAAAGGTTCAACTCTGTTAGCTGAGTAGATACATCATGAAAAAGTTTCTGACATTGCTTCTATCTAGCTTTTATTGGAAGATATTTCCTTTATCACCTTATTCCTGAGATCTCTCCAAATGTCCACTTCCAGATACTATAAAAAGAGTGTTTCAAACCTGCTCTATGAAAGGGACTGTTCAACACTGTGACTTCAATTGAAACATCCCAATGAAGCTTCTGAGAATGCTTCTGTCTAGAGTTTATATGAAGACAATCCCGTTTCCAACGAAATCCTCAAAGCTATCCAAATATCCTCTTGCAGATTTTACAAAAAGAGTGTTTCAAAACTGCTCTATCAAAAGAAATTTTCAACACTGTTAGTTGAGGGCGCACATCACAAATAAGATTCTGAGAATGCTTCTGTCTAGTTTTCAGGGGAAGATATTTCCTTTTTCACCATAGGCCTGAAAGCGCTCCAAATGTCCACATCCAGATACTACAAAAAGAGTGTTTCAAACCTGCTCTCTGAAAGGGAATATTCAACTCTGTGACTTGAATGCAAACATCACAAAGAAGTTCCTGGGAATGCTGCTGTCTGCTTTTTATATGTAATCCCGTTTCCAACGAAATCCTCAAAGCTAGACAAATATCCACTTGCAGATTCCACAAAAAGAGTGTTTCAAAACTGCTCTCTCAAAAGAAAGGTTCAACTCTGTTAGCTGAGTAGATACATCATGAACAATTTTCTGACATTGCCTCTATGTAGCTTTTATTGGAAGATATTTCCTTTTTCACCATAGTCCTGAGAGCGCTCCAAATGTCCACTTCCAGATACTACAAAATGAGTGTTTCAAACCTGTTCTATGAAAGGAACTGTTCAACACTGTGACTTCAATTGAAACATCCCAATGAAGCTTCTGAGAATGCTTCTGTCTAGAGTTTATATGAAGACAATCCCGTTTCCAACGAAATCCTCAAAGCTATCCAAATATCCTCTTGCAGATATTACAAAAAGAGTGTTTCAAAACTGCTCTATCAAAAGAAAGGTTCAACACTGTTAGTTGAGGGCGCACATCACAAATAAGTTTACTGAGAATGCTGCTGTCTGCTTTTTATATGTAATCCCGTTTCCAACGAAATCCTCAAAGCTATCCAAATATCCTCTTGCAGATATTACAAAAAGAGTGTTTCAAAACTGCTCTATCAAAAGAAAGGTTCAACACTGTTAGTTGAGGGCGTACATCACAAATAAGTTTCTGAGAATGCTTCTGTCTAGTTTTCAGGGGAAGATATTTCCTTTTTCACCATAGGCCTGAAAGCGCTCCAAATGTCCACATCCAGATACTACAAAAAGAGTGTTTCAAACCTGCTCTATGAAAGGGAATATTCAACTCTGTGACTTGAATGCAAACATCACAAAGAAGTTACTGGGAATGCTGTTGTCTGCTTTTTATATGTAATCCCGTTTCCAACGAAATCCTCAAAGCTAGACAAATATCCACTTGCAGATTCCACAAAAAGAGTGTTTCAAAACTGCTCTCTCAAAGGAAAGGTTCAACTCTGTTAGCTGAGTAGATACATCATGAAAAAGTTTCTGACATTGCTTCTATGTAGCTTTTATTGGAAGATATTTCCTTTTTCACCATAGTCCTGAGAGCGCTCCAAATGTCCACTTCCAGATACTACAAAAAGAGTGTTTCAAACCTGTTCTATGAAAGGAACTGTTCAACACTGTGACTTCAATTGAAACATCCCAATGAAGCTTCTGAGAATGCTTCTGTCTAGAATTTATATGAAGACAAACCCGTTTCCAACGAAATCCCCAAAGCTATCCAAATATCCTCTTGCAGATATTACAAAAAGAGTGTTTCAAAACTGCTCTATCAAAAGAAAGCTTCAACACTGTTAGTTGAGGGCGCACATCACAAATAAGATTCTGAGAATGCTTCTGTCTAGTTTTCAGGGGAAGATATTTCCTTTTTCACCTTAGGCCTGAAAGCGCTGCAAATGTACACATCCAGATACTACAAAAAGAGTGTTTCAAACCTGCTCTATGAAAGGGAATGTTCAACTCTGTGACTTGAATGCAAACATCACAAAGAAGATTCTGGGAATGCTGCTGTCTGCTTTTTATATGTAATCCCGTTTCCAACGCAATCCACAAAGCTAGACAAATATCCACTTGCAGATTCCAAAAAAAGGGTGTTTCAAAACTGCTCTCTCAAAAGAAAGGTTCAACTCTTTTAGCTGAGTAGATACATCATGAAAACGTTTCTGACATTGCTTCTATCTAGCTTTTATTGGAAGATATTTCCTTTATCATCGTAGTCCTGAGAGCGCTCCAAATGTCCACTTCCAGATACTACAAAAAGAGTGTTTCAAACCTGCTCTATGAAAGGGACTGTTCAACACTGTGACTTCAATTGAAACATCCCAATGAAGCTTCTGAGAATGCTTCTGTCTAGAGTTTATATGAAGACAATCCCGTTTCCAACGAAATCCTCAAAGCTATCCAAATATCCTCTTGCAGATATTACAAAAAGAGTGTTTCAAAACTGCTCTATCAAAAGAAAGGTTCAACACTGTTAGTTGAGGGCGCACATCACAAATAAGTTTCTGAGAATGCTTCTGTCTAGTTTTCAGGGGAAGATATTTCCTTTTTCACCATAGGCCTGAAAGCGCTCCAAATGTCCACATCCAGATACTACAAAAAGAGTGTTTCAAACCTGCTCTATGAAAGGGAATGTTCAACTCTGTGACTTGAATGCAAACATCACAAAGAAGTTACTGGGAATGCTGCTGTCTGCTCTTTATATGTAATCCCGTTTCCAACGAAATCCTCAAAGCTAGACAAATATCCACTTGCAGATTCCACAAAAAGAGTGTTTCAAAACTGCTCTCTCAAAAGAAAGGTTCAACTCTGTTAGCTGAGTAGATACATCATGAAAAAGTTTCTGACATTGCTTCTATGTAGCTTTTATTGGAAGATATTTCCTTTTTCACCGTAGTCCTGAGAGCGCTCCAAATGTCCACTTCCAGATACTACAAAAAGAGTGTTTCAAACCTGCTCTATGAAAGGGACTGTTCAACACTGTGACTTCAATTGAAACATCCCAATGAAGCTTCTGAGAATGCTTCTGTCTAGAGTTTATATGAAGACAATCCCGTTTCCAACGAAATCCTCAAAGCTATCCAAATATCCTATTGCAGATATTACAAAAAGAGTGTTTCAAAACTGCTCTATCAAAAGAAAGCTTCAACACTGTTAGTTGAGGGCGCACATCACAAATAAGTTTCTGAGAATGCTTCTGTCTAGTTTTCAGGGGAAGATATTTCCTTTTTCACCATAGGCCTGAAAGCGCTCCAAATGTCCACATCCAGATACTACAAAAAGAGTTTTTCAAACCTGCTCTATGAAACGGAATGTTCAAGTCTGTGACTTCAATGCAAATATCACAAAGAAGTTTCTGGGAATACTGCTGTCTGCTTTTTATATGTAATCCCGTTTCCAACGAAATCCTCAAAGCTAGACAAATATCCACCTGCAGATTCCACAAAAAGAGTGTTTCAAAACTGCTCTCTCAAAAGAAAGGTTCAACACTGTTAGCTGAGTAGATACATCATGAAAAAGTTTCTGACATTGCTTCTATCTAGCTTTTATTGGAAGATATTTCCTTTATCACCGGGAGTCCTGAGAGCGCTCCAGATGTCCACTTCCAGATACTACAAAAAGAGTGTTTCAAACCTGCTCTATGAAAGGGACTGTTCAACACTGTGACTTCAATTGAAACATCCCAATGAAGCTTCTGAGAATGCTTCTGTCTAGAGTTTATATGAAGACAATCCCGTTTCCAACGAAATCCTCAAAGCTATCCAAATATCCTCTTGCCGATATTACAAAAAGAGTGTTTCAAAACTGCTCTATCAAAAGAAAGCTTCAACACTGTTAGTTGAGGGCGCACATCACAAATAAGTTTCTGAGAATGCTTCTGTCTAGTTTTCAGGAGAATATATTTCCTTTTTCACCATAGGCCTGAAAGCGCTCCAAATGTCCACATCCAGATACTATAAAAAGAGTGTTTCAAACCTGCTCTATGAAAGGGAATGTTCAACTCTGTGACTTGAATGCAAACATCACAAAGAAGATTCTGGGAATGCTGCTGTCTGCTTTTTATATGTAATCCCGTTTCCAACGAAATCCTCAAAGCTAGACAAATATCCACGTGCAGATTCCACAAAAAGAGTGTTTCAAAACTGCTCTATCAAGAGAAAGCTTCAACACTGTTAGTTGAGGGCGCACATCACAAATAAGTTTCTGAGAATGCTTCTGTCTAGTTTTCAGGGGAAGATATTTCCTTTTTCACCATAGGCCTGAAAGCGCTCGAAATGTCCACATCCAGATACTACAAAAAGAGTGTTTCAAACCTGCTCTATGAAAGGGACTGTTCAACACTGTGACTTCAATTGAAACATCCCAATGAAGCTTCTGAGAATGCTTCTGTCTAGATTTTATATGTAGACAATCCCGTTTCAAAGGAAATCCTCAAAGCTATCCAAATATCCTCTTGCAGATTTTACAAAAAGAGTGTTTCAAAACAGCTCTATCAAAAGAAAAGTTCAACACTGTTAGTTGAGGGCGCACATCACAAATAAGATTACTGAGAATGCTTCTGTCTAGTTTTCAGGGGAAGATATTTCCGTTTTCACCATAGGCCTGAAAGCGCTCCAAATGTCCACATCCAGATACTACAAAAAGAGTGTTTCAAACCTGCTCTATGAAAGGGAATGTTCAACTCTGTGACTTGAATGCAAATATCACAAAGAAGTTTCTGGGAATGCTGCTGTCTGCTTTTTATATGTAATCCCGTTTCCAACGAAATCCTCAAAGCTAGACAAATATCCACTTGCAGATTCCACAAAAAGAGTGTTTCAAAACTGCTCTCTCAAAGGAAGGTTCAACTCTGTTAGCTGAGTAGACACATCATGAAAAAGATTCTGACATTGCTTCTATGTAGCTTTTATTGGAAGATATTTCCTTTTTCACCGCAGTCCTGAGAGCGCTCCAAATGTCCACTTCCAGATACTACAAAAAGAGTGTTTCAAACCTGCTCTATGAAAGGGACTGTTCAACACTGTGACTTCAATTGAAACATCCCAATGAAGCTTCTGAGAATGCTTCTGTCTAGAGTTTATATGAAGACAATCCCGTTTCCAACGAAATCCTCAAAGCTATCCAAATATCCTCTTGCAGATTTTACAAAAAGAGTGTTTCAAAACTACTCTATCAAAAGAAAGCTTCAACACTGTTAGTTGAGGGCGCACATCACAAATAAGATTCTGAGAATGCTGCTGTCTGCTTTTTATATGTAATCCCGTTTCCAACGAAATACTCAAAGCTAGACAAATATCCACTTCCAGATTCCACAAAAAGAGTGTTTCAAAACTGCTCTATCAAAAGAAAGCTTCAACACTGTTAGTTGAGGGCGCACATCACAAATAAGTTTCTGAGAATGCTTCTGTCTAGTTTTCAGGGGAAGATATTTCCTTTTTCACCATAGGCCTGAAAGCGCTCCAAATGTCCACATCCAGATACTACAAAAAGAGTGTTTCAAACCTGCTCTATGAAAGGGACTGTTCAACATTGTGACTTCAATTGAAACATCCCAATGAAGCTTCTGAGAATGCTTCTGTCTAGATTTTATATGAAGACAATCCCGTTTCCAAAGAAATCCTCAAAGCTATCAAAATATCCTCTTGCAGATTTTACAAAGAGTGTTTCAAAACTACTCTATCAAAAGAAAGGTTTAACACTGTTAGTTGAGGGCGCACATCAGAAATAAGTTTCTGAGAATGCTTCTGTCTAGTTTACAGGGGAAGATATTTCCTTTTTCACCATAGGCCTGAAAGCGCTCCAAATGTCCACATGCAGATACTACAAAAAGAGTGTTTCAAACCTGCTCTATGAAAGGGAATGTTCAAGTCTGTGACTTGAATGCAAATTTCACAAACAGCTTTCTGGGAATGCTGCTGTCTGCTTTTTATATGTAATCCCGTTTCCAACGAAATCCTCAAAGCTAGACAAATATCCACTTGCAGATTCCACAAAAAGAGTGTTTCAAAACGGCTCTCTCAAAAGAAAGGTTCAACTCTGTTAGCTGAGTAGATACATCATGAAAAAGTTTCTGACATTGCTTCTATCTAGCTTTTATTGGAAGATATTTCCTTTTTCACCATAGTCCTGAGAACGCTCCAAATGTCCACTTCCAGATATTACAAAAAGAGTGTTTCAAACCTGCTCTACGAAAGGGACTGTTCAACACTGTGACTTCAATTGAAACATCCCAATGAAGCTTCTGAGAATGCTTCTGTCTAGAGTTTATATGAAGACAATCCCGTTTCCAACGAAATCCTCAAAGCTATCCAAATATCCTCTTGCAGATATTACAAAAAGAGTGTTTCAAAACTGCTCTATCAAAAGAAAGCTTCAACACTGTTAGTTGAGGGCGCACATCACAAATAAGTTTCTGAGAATGCTTCTGTCTAGTTTTCAGGGGAAGATATTTCCTTTTTCACCATAGGCCTGAAAGCGCTCCAAATGTCCACATCCAGATACTACAAAAAGAGTGTTTCAAACCTGCTCTATGAAAGGGAATGTTCAACTCTGTGACTTGAATGCAAACGTCACAAAGAAGTTTCTGGGAATGCTGCTGTCTGCTTTTTATATGTAATCCCGTTTCCAACGAAATCCTCAAAGCTAGACAAATATCCACTTGCAGATTCCACAAAAAGAGTGTTTCAAAACTGCTCTATCAAAAGAAAGCTTCAACACTGTTAGTTGAGGGCGCACATCACAAATAAGTTTCTGAGAATGCTTCTATGTAGCCTTTATTGGAAGATATTTCCTTTTTCACCGTAGTCCTGAGAGCGCTCCAAATGTCCACTTCCAGATACTACAAAAAGGGTGTTTCAAACCTGCTCTATGAAAGGGACTGTTCAACACTGTGACTTCAATTGAAACATCCCAATGAAGCTTCTGAGAATGCTTCTGTCTAGAGTTTATATGAAGACAATCCCGTTTCCAACGAAATCCTCAAAGCTATCCAAATATCCTCTTGCAGATATTACAAAAAGAGTGTTTCAAAACTGCTCTATCAAAAGAAAGCTTCAACACTGTTAGTTGAGGGCGCACATCACAAATAAGTTTCTGAGAATGCTTCTGTCTAGTTTTCAGGGGAAGATATTTCCTTTTTCACCATAGGCCTGAAAGCGCTCCAAATGTCCACATCCAGATACTACAAAAAGAGTGTTTAAGACCTGCTCTATGAAAGGGAATGTTCAACTCTGTGACTTGAATGCAAACATCACAAAGAAGTTTCTGGGAATGCTGCTGTCTGCTTTGTATATGTAATCCCGTTTCCAACGAAATCCTCAAAGCTAGACAAATATCCACTTGCAGATTCCACAAAAAGAGTGTTTCAAAACTGCTCTCTCAAAAGAAAGGTTCAACTCTGTTAGCTGAGTAGATACATCATGAAAAAGTTTCTGACATTGCTTCTATGTAGCTTTTATTGGAAGATATTTCCTTTTTCACCGTAGTCCTGAGAGCGCTCCAAATGTCCACTTCCAGATACTACAAAAAGAGTGTTTCAAACCTGCTCTATGAAAGGGACTGTTCAACACTGTGACTTCAATTGAAACATCCCAATGAAGCTTCTGAGAATGCTACTGTCTAGAGTTTATATGAAGACAATCCCGTTTCCAACGAAATCCTCAAAGCTATCCAAATATCCTCTTGCAGATTTTACAAAAAGAGTGTTTCAAAACTGCTCTATCAAAAGAAAGGTTCAACACTGTTAGTTGAGGGCGTACATCACAAATAAGGTTCTGAGAATGCTTCTGTCTAGTTTACAGGAGAAGATATTTCCTTTTTCACCATAGGCCTGAAAGCGTTCCAAATGTCCACATCCAGATACTATAAAAAGAGTGTTTCAAACCTGCTCTCTGAAAGGGAATGTTCAACTCTGTGACTTGAATGCAAACATCGCAAACAAGATTCTGGGAATGCTGCTGTCTGCTTTTTATATGTAATCCCGTTTCCAACGAAATCCTCAAAGCTAGACAAATATCCACTTGCAGATTCCACAAAAAGAGTGTTTCAAAACTGCTCTATCAAAAGAAAGCTTCAACACTGTTAGTTGAGGGCGCACATCACAAATAAGTTTCTGAGAATGCTTCTGTCTAGTTTTCAGGAGAAGATATTTCCTTTTTCACCATAGGCCTGAAAGCGCTCCAAATGTCCACATCCAGATACTACAAAAAGAGTGTTTCAAACCTGCTCTATGAAAGGGAATGTTCAACTCTGTGACTTGAATGCAACCATCACAAAGAAGTTACTGGGAATGCTGCTGTCTGCTTTTTATATGTAATCCCGTTTCCAACGAAATCCTCAAAGCTAGACAAATATCCACTTGCAGATTCCACAAAAAGAGGGTTTCAAAACTGCTCTCTCAAAAGAAAGGTTCAACTCTGTTAGCTGAGTAGATACATAATGAAAAAGTTTCTGACATTGCTTCTATCTAGCTTTTATTGGAAGATACTTCCTTTTTCACCGTAGTCCTGAGAGCGCTCCAAATGTCCACTTGCAGATACTACAAAAAGAGTGTTTCAAACCTGCTCTATGAAAGGGACTGTTCAACACTGTGACTTCAATTGAAACATCCCAATGAAGCTTCTGAGAATGCTTCTGTCTAGAGTTTATATGAAGACAATCCCGTTTCCAGCGAAATCCTCAAAGCTATCCAAATATCCTCTTGCAGATATTACAAAAAGAGTGTTTCAAAACTGCTCTATCAAAAGAAAGGTTCAACACTGTTAGTTGAGGGCACACATCACAAATAAGATTCTGAGAATGCTTCTGTCTAGTTTTCAGGGGAAGATATTTCCTTTTTCACCATAGGCCTGAAAGCGCTCCAAATGTCCACATTCAGATACTACAAAAAGAGTGTTTAAGACCTGCTCTATGAAAGGGAATGTTCAACTCTGTGACTTGAATGCAAACATCACAAAGAAGTTTCTGGGAATGCTGCTGTCTGCTTTTTATATGTAATCCCGTTTCCAACGAAATCCTCAAAGCTAGACAAATATCCACTTGCAGATTCCACAAAAAGAGTGTTTCAAAACGGCTCTCTCAAAAGAAAGGTTCAACTCTGTTAGCTGAGTAGATACATCATGAAAAAGATTCTGACATTGCTTCTATCTAGCTTTTATTGGAAGATATTTCCTTTTTCACCATAGTCCTGAGAACGCTCCAAATGTCCACTTCCAGATATTACAAAAAGAGTGTTTCAAACCTGCTCTACGAAAGGGACTGTTCAACACTGTGACTTCAATTGAAACATCCCAATGAAGCTTCTGAGAATGCTTCTGTCTAGATTGTATATGAAGACAATCCCGTTTCCAACGAAATCCTCAAAGCTATCCAAATATCCTCTTGCAGATTTTACAAAAAGAGTGTTTCAAAACTGCTCTATCAAAAGAAAGCTTCAACACTGTTAGTTGAGGGCGCACATCACAAATAAGTTTCTGAGAATGCTTCTGTCTAGTTTTCAGGGGAAGATATTTCCTTTTTCACCATAGGCCTGAAAGCGCTCCAAATGTCCACATCCAGATACTACAAAAAGAGTGTTTCAAACCTGCTCTATGAAAGGGAATGTTCAAGTCTGTGACTTGAATGCAAATATCACAAAGAAGTTTCTGGGAATGCTGCTGTCTGCTTTTTATATGTAATCCCGTTTCCAACGAAATCCTCAAAGCTAGACAAATATCCACTTGCAGATTCCACAAAAAGAGTGTTTCAAAACTGCTCTGTCAAAAGAAAGGTTCAACTCTGTTAGCTGAATAGATACATCATGAAAAATTTTCTGACATTGCTTCTATCTAGCTTTATTTGGAAGATATTTCCTTTTTCACCGTAGTCTTGAGAGCGCTCCAAATGTCCACTTCCAGATACTACAAAAAGATTGTTTCAAACATGCTCTATGAAAGGGACTGTTCAACACTGTGACTTCAATTGAAACATCCCAATGAAGCTTCTGAGAATGCTTCTGTCTAGATTTTATATGAAGACAATCCCGTTTCCAACGAAATCCTCAAAGCTATCCAAATATCCTCTTGCAGATTTTACAAAAAGAGTGTTTCAAAACTGCTCTATCAAAAGAAAAGTTCAACACTGTTAGTTGAGGGCGCACATCACAAATAAGTTTCTGAGAATGCTTCTGTCTAGTTTTCAGGGGAAGATATTTCCTTTTTCACCATAGGCCTGAAAGCGCTCCAAATGTCCACATCCAGATACTTCAAAAAGAGTGTTTCAAACCTGCTCTATGAAAGGGAACGTTCAACTCTGTGACTTGAATGCAAACATCAGAAAGAAGTTACTGGGAATGCTGCTGTCTGCTTTTTATATGTAATCCCGTTTCCAACGAAATCCTCAAAGCTAGACAAATATCCACTTGCAGATTCCACAAAACGAGTGTTTCAAAACTGCTCTCTCAAAGGAAGGTTCAACTCTGTTAGCTGAGTAGATACATCATGAAAAAGTTTCTGACATTGCTTCTATCTAGCTTTTATTGGAAGATATTTCCTTTTTCACCGCAGTCCTGAGAGCGCTCCAAATGTCCACTTCCAGATACTACAAAAAGAGTGTTTCAAACCTGCTCTATGAAAGGGACTGTTCAACACTGTGACTTCAATTGAAACATCCCAATGAAGCTTCTGAGAATGCTTCTGTCTAGAGTTTATATGAAGACAATCCCGTTTCCAACGAAATCCTCAAAGCTATCCAAATATCCTCTTGCAGATTTTACAAAAAGAGTGTTTCAAAACTGCTCTATCAAAAGAAAGCTTCAACTCTGTTAGTTGAGGGCGCACATCACAAATAAGATTCTGAGAATGCTTCTGTCTAGTTTTCAGGGGAAGATATTTCCTTTTTCACCATAAGCCTGAAAGCGCTCCAAATGTCCACATCCAGATACTACAAAAAGAGTGTTTCAAACCTGCTCTATGAAAGGGAATGTTCAACTCTGTGACTTGAATGCAAACATCACAAAGAAGTTTCTGGGAATGCTGCTGTCTGCTTTTTATATGTAATCCCGTTTCAAACGCAATCCTCAAACCTAGACAAATATCCACTTGCAGATTCCACAAAAAGAGTGTTTCAAAACTGCTCTCTCAAAAGAAAGGTTCAACTCTGTTAGCTGAGTAGATACATCATGAAAAATTTTCTGACATTGCTTTCTATCTAGCTTTTATTGGAAGATATTTCCTTTTTCACCGTAGTCCTGAGATCTCTCCAAATGTCCACTTCCAGATACTACAAAAAGAGTGTTTCAAACCTGCTCTATGAAAGGGACTGTTCAACACTGTGACTTCAATTGAAACATCCCAATGAAGCTTCTGAGAATGCTTCTGTCTAGATTTTATATGAAGACAATCCCGTTTCCAACGAAATCCTCAAAGCTATCCAAATATCCTCTTGCAGATTTTACAAAAAGAGTGTTTCTAAACTGCTCTATCAAAAGAAAGGTTCAACACTGTTAGTTGAGGGCGCACATCACAAATAAGTTTCTGAGAATGCTTCTGTCTAGTTTTCAGGGGAAGATATTTCCTTTTTCACCATAGGCCTGAAAGCGCTCCAAATGTCCACATTCAGATCCTACAAAAAGAGTGTTTCAAACCTGCTCTATGAAAGGGAATGTTCAACTCTGTGACTTGAATGCAAACATCACAAAGAAGTTACTGGGAATGCTGCTGTCTGCTTTTTATATGTATTCCCGTTTCCAAAGAAATCCTCAAAGCTAGACAAATATCCACTTGCAGATTCCACAAAAAGAGTGTTTCAAAACTGCTCTCTCAAAAGAAAGGTTCAACTCTGTTAGCTGAGTAGATACATCATGAAAAAGTTTCTGACATTGCTTCTATCTAGCTTTTATTGGAAGATATTTCCTTTTTCACCGTAGTCCTGAGAGCGCTCTCAATGTCCACTTCCAGATACTACAAAAAGAGTGTTTCAAACCTGCTCTATGAAAGGGAATGTTCAACTCTGTGACTTGAATGCAAGCATCACAAGGAAGTTTCTGAGAATGCTTCTGTCTAGATTTTATATGAAGATATTCCCGTTTCCAACGAAACCCTCAAAGCTATCCAAATATCCACTTGCAGATTCTACAAAAAGAGAGTTTCAAAACTGCTCTATCAAAAGAAAGCTTCAACTCTGTTAGTTGAGTACACACATCACAAACTTGTTTCTGAGAATTCTTCTGTCTAGTTTTCAGGGGAAGATATTTCCTTTTTCACCATAGGCCTGAAAGCGCTCCAAATGTCCACATCCAGATACTACAAAAAGAGTGTTTCAAACCTGCTCTCTGAAAGGGAATGTTCAACTCTGTGACTTGAATGCAAACATCACAAAGAAGTTTCTGGGAATGCTGCTGTCTGCTTTTTATATGTAATCCCGTTTCCAACGAAATCCTCAAAGCTAGACAAATATCCACTTGCAGATTCCACAAAAAGAGTGTTTCAAAACTGCTCTATCAAAAGAATGCTTCAACACTGTTAGTTGAAGGCGCACATCACAAATAAGTTTCTGAGAATGCTTCTGTCTAGTTTTCAGGGGAAGATATTTCCTTTTAAACCATAGGCCTGAAAGCGCTCCAAATGTCCACATCCAGATACTACAAAAAGAGTGTTTCAAACCTGCTCTATGAAAGGGACTGTTCAACACTGTGACTTCAATTGAAACATCCCAATGACGCTTCTGAGAATGCTTCTGTCTAGAGTTTATATGAAGACAATCCCGTTTCCAACGAAATCCTCAAAGCTATCCAAATATCCTCTTGCAGATTTTACAAAAAGAGTGTTTCAAAACTGCTCTCTCAAAAGAAAGGTTCAACTCTGTTAGCTGAGTAGATACATCATGAAAAAGTTTCTGACATTGCTTCTATGTAGCTTTTATTGGAAGATATTTCCTTTTTCACCGCAGTCCTGAGAGCGTTCCAAATGTCCACTTCCAGATACTACAAAAAGAGTGTTTCAAACCTGCTCTATGAAAGGGACTGTTCAACACTGTGACTTCAATTGAAACATCCCAATGAAGCTAATGAGAATGCTTCTGTCTAGAGTTTCTATGAAGACAATCCCGTTTCCAACGAAATCCTCAAAGCTATCCAAATATCCTCTTGCAGATTTTACAAAAAGAGTGTTTCAAAACTGCTCTATCAAAAGAAAGCTTCAACACTGTTAGTTGAGGGCGCACATCACAAATAAGATTCTGAGAATGCTTCTGTCTAGTTTTCAGGGGAAGATATTTCCTTTTTCACCATAGGCCTGAAAGCGCTCCAAATGTCCACATCCAGATACTACAAAAAGAGTGTTTGAAACCTGCTCTATGAAAGGGAATGTTCAACTCTGTGACTTGAATGCAAACATCACAAAGAAGATTCTGGGAATGCTGCTGTCTGCTTTTTATATGTAATCCCGTTTCCAACGAAATCCTCAAAGCTAGACAAATATCCACTTGCAGATTCCACAAAAAGAGTGTTTCAAAACTGCTCTCTGAAAGGAAAGGTTCAACTCTGTTAGCTGAGTAGATACATCATGAAAAAGTTTCTGACATTGCTTCTATCTATCTTTTATTGGAAGATATATCCTTTTTCACCGCAGTCCTGAGAGCGCTCCAAATGTCCACTTCCAGATACTACAAAAAGAGTGTTTCAAACCTGTTCTATGAAAGGAACTGTTCAACACTGTGACTTCAATTGAAACATCCCAACGAAGCTTCTGAGAATGCTTCTGTCTAGAGTTTATATGAAGACAATCCCGTTTCCAACGAAATCCTCAAAGCTATCAAAATATCCTCCTGCAGATTTTACGAAAAGAGTGTTTCAAAACTGCTCTATCAAAAGAAAGCTTCAACACTGTTAGTTGAGGGCGCACATCACAAATAAGATTCTGAGAATGCTTCTGTCTAGTTTTCAGGAGAAGATATTTCCTTTTTCACCATAGGCCTGAAAGCGCTCCAAATGTCCACATCCAGATACTATATAAAGAGTGTTTCAAACCAGCTCTCTGAAAGGGAATGTTCAACTCTGTGACTTGAATGCAAACATCACAAACAAGATTCTGGGAATGCTGCTGTCTGCTTTTTATATGTAATCCCGTTTCCAACGAAATCCTCAAAGCTATCCAAATATCCTCTTGCAGATATTACAAAAAGAGTGTTTCAAAACTGCTCTATCAAAAGAAAGGTTCAACACTGTTAGTTGAGGGCGCACATCACAAATAAGTTTCTGAGAATGCTTCTGTCTAGTTTTCAGGGGAAGATATTTCCTTTTTCACCCTAGGCCTGAAAGCGCTCCAAATGTCCACATCCAGATACTACAAAAAGAGTGTTTCAAACCTGCTCTATGAAAGGGAATGTTCAACTCTGTGACTTGAATGCAAACATCACAAAGAAGTTACTGGGAATGCTGCTGTCTGCTTTTTATATGTAATCCCGTTTCCAAAGAAATCCTCAAAGCTAGACAAATATCCACTTGCAGATTCCACAAAAAGAGTGTTTCAAAACTGCTCTCTCAAAGGAAAGGTTCAACTCTGTTAGCTGAGTAGATACATCATGAAAAAGTTTCTGACATTGCTTCTATGTAGCTTTTATTGGAAGATATTTCCTTTTTCACCATAGTCCTGAGAGCGCTCCAAATGTCCACTTCCAGATACTACAAAAAGAGTGTTTCAAACCTGTTCTATGAAAGGAACTGTTCAACACTGTGACTTCAATTGAAACATCCCAATGAAGCTTCTGAGAATGCTTCTGTCTAGAGTTTATATGAAGACAATCCCGTTTCCAACGAAATCCTCAAAGCTATCAAAATATCCTCTTGCAGATTTTACGAAAAGAGGGTTTCAAAACTGCTCTATCAAAAGAAAGCTTCAACACTGTTAGTTGAGGGCGCACATCACAAATAAGATTCTGAGAATGCTTCTGTCTAGTTTTCTGGGGAAGATATTTCCTTTTTCACCATAGGCCTGAAAGCGCTCCAAATGTCCACATCCAGATACTACAAAAAGAGTGTTTCAAACCTGCTCTATGAAAGGGAATGTTCAACTCTGTGACTTGAATGCAAACATCACAAAGAAGTTACTGGGAATGCTGCTGTCTGCTTTTTATATGTAATCCCGTTTCCAACGAAATCCTCAAAGCTAGACAAATATCCACTTCCAGATTCCACAAAAAGAGTGTTTCAAAACTGCTCTCTCAAAAGAAAGGTTCAACTCTGTTAGCTGAGTAGATACATCATGAAAAAGTTTCTGACATTGCTTCTATGTAGCTTTTATTGGAAGATATTTCCTTTTTCACCATAGGCCTGAAAGCGCTCCAAATGTCCACATCCAGATACTACAAAAAAAGTGTTTCAAACCTGCTCTATGAAAGGGAATGTTCAACTCTGTGACTTGAATGCAAACATCACAAAGAAGTTACTGGGAATGCTGCTGTCTGCTTTTTATATGTAATCCCGTTTCCAACGAAGTCCTCAAAGCTAGACAAATATCCACTTGCAGATTCCACAAAAAGAGTGTTTCAAAACTGCTCTCTCAAAAGAAAGGTTCAACTCTGTTAGCTGAGTAGATACATCATGAAAAAGTTTCTGACATTGCTTCTATCTAGCTTTTATTGGAAGATATTTCCTTTTTCACCGTAGTCCTGAGAACTCTCCAAATGTCCACTTCCAGATACTACAAAAAGAGTGTTTCAAACCTGCTCTATGAAAGGGACTGTTCAACACTGTGACTTCAATTGAAACATCCCAATGAAGCTTCGGAGAATGCTACTGTCTAGAGTTTATATGAAGACAATCCCGTTTCCAACGAAATCCTCAAAGCTATCCAAATATCCCATTGCACATTTTACAAAAAGAGTGTTTCAAAACTACTCTATCAAAAGAAAGGTTTAACACTGTTAGTTGAGTGCGCACATCACAAATAAGTTTCTGAGAATGCTTCTGTCTAGTTTTCAGGGGAAGATATTTCCTTTTTCACCATAGGCCTGAAAGCGCTCCAAATGTCCACATCCAGATACTACAAAAAGAGTGTTTCAAACCTGCTCTATGAAAGGGAATGTTCAACTCTGTGACTTGAATGCAAACATCACAAAGAAGATTCTGGGAATGCTGCTGTCTGCTTTTTATATGTAATCCCGTTTCCAACGAAATCCTCAAAGCTAGACAAATATCCACTTCCAGATACCACAAAAAGAGTGTTTCAAAACTGCTCTCTCAAAAGAAAGGTTCAACTCTGTTAGCTGAGTAGATACATCATGAAAAAGTTTCTGACATTGCTTCTATCTAGCTTTTATTGGAAGATATTTCCTTTATCACCGTATTCCTGAGATCTCTCCAAATGTCCACTTCCAGATACTACAAAAAGAGTGTTTCAAACCTGCTCTATGAAAGGGACTGTTCAACACTGTGACTTTAATTGAAACATCCCAATGAAGCTTCTCAGAATGCTTCTGTCTAGTAGTTTATATGAAGACAATCCCGTTTCCAACGAAATCCTCAAAGCTATCCAAATATCCTCTTGCAGATTTTACGAAAAGAGTGTTTCAAAACTGCTCTATCAAAAGAAAGCTTCAACACTGTTAGTTGAGGGCGCACATCACAAATAAGATTCTGAGAATGCTTCTGTCTAGTTTACAGGGGAAGATATTTCCTTTTTCACCATAGGCCTGAAAGCGCTCCAAATGTCCACATCCAGATACTACAAAAAGAGTGTTTCAAACCTGCTCTATGAAAGGGAATGTTCAAGTCTGTGACTTGAATGCAAATTTCACAAAGAAGTTTCTGGGAATGCTGCTGTCTGCTTTTTATATGTAATCCCGTTTCCAACGAAATCCTCAAAGCTAGACAAATATCCACTTGCAGATTCCACAAAAATAGTGTTTCAAAACTGCTCTCTCAAAAGAAAGGTTCAACTCTTTTAGCTGAGTAGATACATCATGAAAAAGTTTCTGACATTGCTTCTATCTAGCTTTTATTGGAAGATATTTCCTTTTTCACCGTAGTCCTGAGAACGCTCCAAATGTCCACTTCCAGATGCTACAAAAAGAGTGTTTCAAACCTGCTCTATGAAAGGGACTGTTCAACACTGTGACTTCAATTGAAACATCCCAATGAAGCTTCTGAGAATGCAACTGTCTAGGGTTAATATGAAGACAATCCCGTTTCCAACGAAATCCTCCAAGCTATCCAAATATCCTCTTGCAGATTTTACAAAAAGAGTGTTTCAAAACTGCTCTATCAAAAGAAAGCTTCAACACTGTTAGTTGAGGGCGCACATCACAAATAAGTTTCTGAGAATGATTCTGTCTAGTTTTCAGGGGAAGATATTTCCTTTTTCACCATAGGCCTGAAAGCGCTCCAAATGTCCACATCCAGATACTACAAAAAGAGTGTTTCAAACCTGCTCTATGAAAGGAAATGTTCAAGTCTGTGACTTGAATGCAAATTTCACAAAGAACTTTCTGGTAATGCTGCTGTCTGCTTTTTATATGTAATCCCGTTTCCAACGAAATCCTCAAAGCTAGACAAATATCCACTTGCAGATTCCACAAAAAGAGTGTTTCAAAACTGCTCTCTCAAAAGAAAGGTTCAATTCTATTAGCTGAGTAGATGCATCATGAAAATGTTTCTGACATTGCTTCTATCTAGCTTTTATTGGAAGATATTTCCTTTTTCACCGTAGTCCTGAGAGCGCTCCAAATGTCCACTTCCAGATACTACAAAAAGAGTGTTTCAAACCTGCTCTATGAAAGGGACTGTTCAACACTGTGACTTCAATTGAAACATCCCAATGAAGCTTCTGAGAATGCTTCTGTCTAGAGTTTATATGAAGACAATCCCGTTTCCAACGAAATCCTCAAAGCTATCCAAATATCCTCTTGCAGATTTTACAAAAAGAGTGTTTCAAAACTGCTCTATCAAAAGAAAGCTTCAACTCTGTTAGTTGAGGGCGCACATCACAAATAAGATTCTGAGAATGCTTCTGTCTAGTTTTCAGGGGAAGATATTTCCTTTTTCACCTTAGGCCTGAAAGCGCTGCAAATGTCCACATCCAGATACTACAAAAAGAGTGTTTCAAACCTGCTCTATGAAAGGGAATGTTCAACTCTGTGACTAGAATGCAAACATCACAAAGAAGTTTCTGGGAATGCTGCTGTCTGCTTTTTATATGTAATCCCGTTTCCAACGAAATCCTCAAAGCTAGACAAATATCCACTTGCAGATTCCACAAAACGAGTGTTTCAAAACTGCTCTCTCAAATGAAGGTTCAACTCTGTTAGCTGAGTAGATACATCATGAAAAAGTTTCTGACATTGCTTCTATCTAGCTTTTATTGGAAGATATTTCCTTTTTCAACGCAGTCCTGTGAGCGTTCCAAATGTCCACTTCCAGATACTACAAAAAGAGTGTTTCAAACCTGCTCTATGAAAGGGACTGTTCAACACTGTGACTTCAATTGAAACATCCCAATGAAGCTTCTGGGAATGCTTCTGTCTAGAGTTTATATGAAGACAATCCCGTTTCCAATGAAATCCTCAAAGCTATCCAAATATCCTCTTGCAGATATTACAAAAAGAGTGTTTCAAAACTGCTCTATCAGAAGAAAGCTTCAACACTGTTAGTTGAGGGCGCACATCACAAATAAGTTTCTGAGAATGCTTCTGTCTAGTTTTCAGGAGAAGATATTTCCTTTTTCACCATAGGCCTGAAAGCACTCCAAATGTCCACATCCAGATACTATAAAAAGAGTGTTTCAAACCTGCTCTCTGAAAGGGAATGTTCAACTCTGTGACTTGAATGCAAACATCACAAACAAGATTCTGGGAATGCTGCTGTCTGCTTTTTATATGTAATCCCGTTTCCAACGAAATCCTCAAAGCTAGACAAATATCCACTTGCAGATTCCACAAAAAGAGTGTTTCAAAACTGCTCTATCAAAAGAAAGCTTCAACACTGTTAGTTGAGGGCGCACATCACAAATAAGTTTCTGAGAATGCTTCTGTCTAGTTTTCAGGGGAAGATATTTCCTTTTTCACCTTAGGCCTGAAAGCGCTGCAAATGTCCACATCCAGTTACTACAAAAAGAGTGTTTCAAATCTGCTCTATGAAAGGGAATGTTCAACTCTGTGACTTGAATGCAAACATCACAAAGAAGTTACTGGGAATGCTGCTGTCTGCTTTTTATATGTAATCCCGTTTCCAACGAAATCCTCAAAGCTAGACAAATATCCACTTCCAGATTCCACAAAAAGAGTTCTTCAAAACTGCTCTCTCAAAAGAAAGGTTCAACTCTGTTAGCTGAGTAGATACATCATGAAAAAGTTTCTGACATTGCTTCTGTATAGCATTTATTGGAAGATACTTCCTTTTTCACCGTAGTCTTGAGAGCGCTCCAAATGTCCACTTCCAGATACTACAAAAAGAGTGTTTCAAACCTGCTCTATGAAAGGGAATGTTCAACACTGTGACTTCAATTGAAACATCCCAATGAAGCTTCTGAGAATGCCTCTGTCTAGAGTTTATATGAAGACAATCCTGTTTCCAACGAAATCCTCATAGCTATCCAAATATCCTCTTGCAGATTTTACAAAAAGTGTGTTTCAAAACTGCTCTATCAAAAGAAAGCTTCAACACTGTTAGTTGAGGGCGCACATCACAAATAAGATTCTGAGAATGCTTCTGTCTAGTTTTCAGGGGAAGATATTTCCTTTTTCACCATAGGCCTGAAAGCGCTCCAAATGTCCACATACAGATACTACAAAAAGAGTGTTTCAAACCTGCTCTATGAAAGGGAATGTTCAACTCTGTGACTTGAATGCAAACTTCACAAAGAAGTTTCTGGGAATGCTGCTGTCTGCTTTTTAAATGTAATCCCGTTTCTAACGAAATCCTGAAAGCTAGACAAATATCCACTTGCAGATTCCACAAAAAGAGTGTTTCAAAACTGCTCTCTCAAAGGAAGGTTCAACTCTGTTAGCTGAGTAGATACATCATGAAAAAGTTTCTGACATTGCTTCTATCTAGCTTTTATTGGAAGATACTTCCTTTTTCACCGTAGTCCTGAGAGCGCTCCAAATGTCCACTTCCAGATACTACAAAAAGAGTGTTTCAAACCTGCTCTATGAAAGGGACTGTTCAACACTGTGACTTCAATTGAAACATCCCAATGAAGCTTCTGAGAATGCTACTGTCAAGGGTTAACATGAAGACAATCCCGTTTCCAACGAAATCCTCAAAGCTATCCAAATATCTTCTTGCAGATTTTACAAAAAGAATATTTCAAAACTGCTCTATCAAAAGAAAGCTTCAACACTGTTAGTTGAGGGCGCACATCACAAATAAGTTTCTGATAATACTTCTGTCTAGTTTTCAGGGGAAGATATTTCCTTTTTCACCATAGGCCTGAAAGCACTCCAAATGTCCACATCCAGATACTACAAAAAGAGTGTTTCAAACCTGCTGTATGAAAGGGAATGTTCAACTCTGTGACTTGAATGCAAACATCACAAAGAAGTTACTGGGAATGCTGCTATCTGCTTTTTATATGTAATCATGTTTCCAACGAAATCCTCAAAGCTAGACAAATATCCACTTGCAGATTCCACAAAAAGAGTGTTTCAAAACTGCTCTCTCAAAAGAAAGGTTTAACTCTGTTAGCTGAGTAGATACATCATGAAAAAGTTTCTGACATTGCTTCTATCTAGCTTTTATTGGAAGATATTTCCTTTATCACCGTATTCCTGAGATCTCTCCAAATGTCCACATCCAGATACTACAAAAAGAGTGTTTCAAACCTGCTCTATGAAAGGGACTGTTCAACACTGTGACTTCAATTCAAACATCCCAATGACGCTTCTGAGAATGCTTCTGTCTAGAGTTTATATGAAGACAATCCCGTTTCCAATGAAATCCTCAAAGCTATCCAAATATCTTCTTGCAGATTTTACAAAAAGAGTGTTTCAAAACTGGTCTATCAAAAGAAAGCTTCAACACTGTTAGTTGAGGGCGCACATCACAAATAAGATTCTCAGAATGCTTCTGTCTAGTTTTCAGGGGAAGATATTTCCTTTTTCACCATAGGCCTGAAAGCGCTCCAAATGTCCACATCCAGATAGTACAAAAAGAGTGTTTCAAACCTGCTCTATGAAAGGGAATGTTCAACTCTGTGACTTGAATGCAAACATCACAAAGAAGTTTCTGGGAATGCTGCTGTCTGCTTTTTATATGTAATCCCGTTTCCAACGAAATCCTCAAAGCTAGACAAATATCCACTTGCAGATTCCACAAAAAGAGTGTTTCAATACTGCTCTATCAAAAGAATGCTTCAACACTGTTAGTTGAGGGCGCACATCACAAATAAGTTTCTGAGAATGCTTCTGTCTAGTTTTCAGTGGAAGATATTTCCTTTTTCACCATAGGCCTGAAAGCGCTCCAAATGTCCACATCCAGATACTACAAAAGGAGTGTTTCAAACCTGCTCTATGAAAGGGACTGTTCAACACTGTGACTTCAATTGAAACATCCCAATGAAGCTTCTGAGAATGCTTCTGTCTAGAATTTATATGAAGACAATACCGTTTCCAACGAAATCCTCAAAGCTATCCAAATATCCTCTTGCAGATTTTACAAAAAGAGTGTTTCAAAACTGCTCTATCAAAAGAAAGCTTCAACACTGTTAGTTGAGGGCGCACATCAAAAATAAGATTCTGAGAATGCTTCTGTCTAGTTTTCAGGGGAAGATATTTCCTTTTTCACCTTAGGCCTGAAAGTGCTGCAGATGTACACATCCAGATACTACAAAAAGAGTGTTTCAAACCTGCTGTATGAAAGGGAATGTTCAACTCTGTGACTTGAATGCAAACATCACAAAGAAGTTTCTGGGAATGCTGCTGTCTGCTTTTTATATGTAATCCCGTTTCCAACGAAATCCTCAAAGCTAGAAAAATATCCACTTGCAGATTCCACAAAAAGAGTGTTTCAATACTGCTCTCTCAAAAGAAAGGTTCAACTCTGTTAGCTGAGTAGATACATCATGAAAAAGTTTCTGACATTGCTTCTATCTAGCTTTTATTGGAAGATATTTCCTTTTTCACCGTAGTCCTGAGATCTCTCCAAATGTCCACTTCCAGATACTACAAAAAGAGTGTTTCAAACCTGCTCTATGAAAGGGACTGTTCAACACTGTGACTTCAATTGAAACATCCCAATGAAGCTTCTGAGAATGCTTCTGTCTAGAGTTTATATGAAGACAATCCCGTTTCCAACGAAATCCTCAAAGCTATCCAAATATCCTCTTGCAGATATTACAAAAAGAGTGTTTCAAAACTGCTCTATCAAAAGAAAGCTTCAACACTGTTAGTTGAGGGCGCACATCACAAATAAGTTTCTGAGAATGCTTCTGTCTAGTTTTCAGGGGAAGATATTTCCTTTTTCACCATAGGCCTGAAAGCGCTCCAAATGTCCACATCCAGATACTACAAAAAGAGTGTTTCAAACCTGCTCTATGAAAGGGAATGTTCAAATCTGTGACTGGAATGCAAACATCTCAAAGAAGTTTCTGGGAATGCTGCTGTCTGCTTTTTATATGTAATCCCGTTTCCAACGAAATCCTCAAATCTAGACAAATATCCACTTGCAGATTCCACAAAAAGAGTGTTTCAAAACGGCTCTCTCAAAAGAAAGGTTCAACTCTGTTAGCTGAGTAGATACATCATGAAAAAGTTTCTGACATTGCTTCTATCTAGCTTTTATTGGAAGATATTTCCTTTTTCACCATAGTCCTGAGAACGCTCCAAATGTCCACTTCCAGATATTACAAAAAGAGTGTTTCAAACCTGCTCTACGAAAGGGACTGTTCAACACTGTGACTTCAATTGAAACATCCCAATGAAGCTTCTGAGAATGCTTCTGTCTAGATTGTATATGAAGACAATCCCGTTTCCAACGAAATCCTCAAAGCTATCCAAATATCCTCTTGCAGATTTTACAAAAAGAGTGTTTCAAAACTGCTCTATCAAAAGAAAGCTTCAACACTGTTAGTTGAGGGCGCACATCACAAATAAGTTTCTGAGAATGCTTCTGTCTAGTTTTCAGGGGAAGATATTTCCTTTTTCACCATAGGCCTGAAAGCGCTCCAAATGTCCACATCCAGATACTACAAAAAGAGTGTTTCAAACCTGCTCTATGAAGGGGAATGTTCAAGTCTCTGACTTGAATGCAAATATCACGAAGAAGTTTCTGGGAATGCTGCTGTCTGCTTTTTATATGTAATCCCGTTTCCAACGCAATCCTCAAAGCTAGACAAATATCCACTTGCAGATTCCACAAAAAGAGTGTTTCAAAACTGCTCTCTCAAAAGAAAGGTTCAACCCTGTTAGCTGAGTAGATACATCATGAAAAATTTTCTGACATTGCTTCTATCTAGCTTTTATTGGAAGATATTTCCTTTTTCACTGTAGTCCTGAGAACGCTCCAAATGTCCACTTCCAGATACTACAAAAAGAGTGTTTCAAATCTGCTCTATGAAAGGGACTGTTCAACACTGTGACTTCAATTGAAACATCCCAATGAAGCTTCTGAGAATGATGCTGTCTGCTTTGTATAATTAATCCCGTTTCCAACGAAATCCTCAAAGCTATCCAAATATCCTCTTGCAGATATTACAAAAAGAGTGTTTCAAAACTGCTCTATCAAAAGAAAGCTTCAACACTGTTAGTTGAGGGCGCACATCACAAATAAGTTTCTGAGAATGCTGCTGTCTGCTTTTTATATGTAATCCCGTTTCCAACGAAATCCTCAAATCTAGACAAATATCCACTTGCAGATTCCACAAAAAGAGTGTTTCAAAACTGCTCTATCAAAAGAATGCTTCAACACTGTTAGTTGAGGGCGCACATCACAAATAAGTTTCTGAGAATGCTTCTGTCTAGTTTTCAGGGGAAGATATTTCCTTTTAAACCATAGGCCTGAAAGCGCTCCAAATGTCCACATCCAGATACTACAAAAAGAGTGTTTCAAACCTGCTCTATGAAAGGGACTGTTCAACACTGTGACTTCAATTGAAACATCCCAATGACGCTTCTGAGAATGCTTCTGTCTAGAGTTTATATGAAGACAATCCCGTTTCCAACGGAAATCCTCAAAGCTATCCAAATATCCTCTTGCAGATTTTACAAAAAGAGTGTTTCAAAACTGCTCTATCAAAAGAAAGCTTCAACACTGTTAGTTGAGGGCGCACATCACAAATAAGATTCTAAGAATTCTTCTGTCTAGTTTTCAGGGGAAGAGATTTCCTTTTTCACCATAGGCCTCAAAGCTCTCTAAATGTCCACATCCAGATACTACAAAAAGAGTGTTTCAAACCTGCTCTATGAAAGGGAATGTTCAAATCTGTGACTTGAATGCAAAGAACACAAAGAAGTTTCGGGGAATGCTGCTGTCTGCTTTTTATATGTAATCCCGTTTCCAACGAAATCCTCAAAGCTAGACAAATATCCACTTTCAGATTACACAAAAAGAGTGTTTCAAAACTGCTCTCTCAAAAGAAAGGTTCAACTCTGTTAGCTGAGTAGATACATCATGAAAAAGTTTGTGACATTGCTTCTATGTAGCTTTTATTGGAAGATATTTCCTTTTTCACCATAGGCCTGAAAGCGCTCCAAATATCCACATCCAGATACTACAAAAAAAGTGTTTCAAACCTGCTCTATGAAAGGGAATGTTCAACTCTGTGACTTGAATGCAAACATCACAAAGAAGTTACTGGGAATGCTGCTGTCTGCTTTTTATATGTAATCCCGTTTCCAACGAAATCCTCAAAGCTAGACTAATATCCACTTGCAGATTCCACAAAAAGAGTGTTTCAAAACTGCTCTCTCAAAAGAAAGGTTCAACTCTGTTAGCTGAGTAGATACATCATGAAAAAGTTTCTGACATTGCTTCTATCTAGCTTTTATTGGAAGATATTTCCTTTTTCACCGCAGTCCTGAGAGCGTTCGAAATGTCCACTTCCAGATACTACAAAAAGAGTGTTTCAAACCTGCTCTATGAAAGGGACTGTTCAACACTGTGACTTCAATTGAAACATCCCAATGAAGCTTCTGAGAATGCTTCTGTCTAGAGTTTATATGAAGACAATCCCGTTTCCAACGAAATCCTCAAAGCTATCCAAATATCCTCTTGCAGATTTTACAAAAAGAGTGTTTCAAAACTGCTCTATCAAAAGAAAGCTTCAACTCTGTTAGTTGAGGGCGCACATCACAAATAAGATTCTGAGAATGCTTCTGTCTAGTTTTCAGGGGAAGATATTTCCTTTTTCAGCATAGGCCTGAAAGCGCTCCAAATGTCCACATCCAGATACTACAAAAAGAGTGTTTCAAACCTGCTCTATGAAAGGGAATGTTCAACTCTGTGACTTGAATGCAAACATCACAAAGAAGTTTGCTGGGAATGCTGCTGTCTGCTTTTTATATGTAATCCCGTATCCAACGAAATCCTCAAAGCTAGACAAATATCCACTTGCAGATTCCACCAAAAGAGTGTTTCAAAACTGCTCTCTCAAAAGAAAGGTTCAACTCTGTTAGCTGAGTAGATAGATCATTAAAAAGTTTCTGACTTTGCTTCTATCTAGCTTTTATTGGAAGATATTTCCTTTTTCACCGCAGTCCTGAGAGCGCTCCAAATGTCCACTTCCAGATACTACAAAAAGAGTGTTTCAAACCTGCTCTATGAAAGGGACTGTTCAACACTGTGACTTCAATTGAAACATCCCAATGAAGCTTCTGAGAATGCTTCTGTCTAGAGTTTATATGAAGACAATCCCGTTTCCAACGAAATCCTCAAAGCTATCCAAATATCCTGTTGCAGATTTTACAAAAAGAGTGTTTCAAAACTGCTCTATCAAAAGAAAGCTTCAACACTGTTAGTTGAGGGCGCACATCACAAATAAGATTCTGAGAATGCTTCTGTCTAGTTTTCAGGGGAAGATATTTCCTTTTTCACCATAGGCCTGAAAGCGCTCCAAATGTCCACATACAGATACTACAAAAAGAGTGTTTCAAACCTGCTCTATGAAAGGGAATGTTCAACTCTGTGACTTGAATGCAAACTTCACAAAGAAGTTTCTGGGAATGCT